>NC_000017.11:3066868-3218383 GCF_000001405.40 Homo sapiens
CTCCCGAGTAGGTGGGACTATAGGCGCCCACGACCATGCCCAGCTAATTTTTGTACTTTTAGTGGAGAAGGGGTTTCACCATGTTGGCCAGGCTGGTCTTGAACTCCTGACCTCAAGTGCTCCACCTGCTTTGGCCTCCCGAAGTGCTGGGATTACAGGCGTGAGCTGCATGATAGTTTTTAAATCTTAATATTTAAAAAAAAACAACCCAGCTACAGGCGTACCTTGGAGATATTGTGAGTTTGATTCCAGATCACCTCAATAGAGCAAATATTGCAATAAAGCGCATCACACAGTGTTGTGGCTTCCCAGTGTATACGTGTTACGTTGACACTATACTGTAGGCTATTAAGTGTGCAGGAGCATTATGTCTAAAAATGTACATTCCTTAATTAAAAATACCTTATTGCTGAGAAATGATAGCAATCACCTGACCCTTCAGCAAGTTATAATCCTTTTGCTGGTGGAAGATCTCACCTTGATGCTGACGGCTGCTGACTTACCAGTGTGGTGGTTGCTGAAGTTTGGGGTGGCTTTGGCAATTTCTTCAAACAAGAACGATAAAGTTGGCCATATCAGTTGACTCTTCCCTTTAGGAAACATTTCTCTGTAGCATGCGATGCTGCCTGACAACATTTTACCTACAGTAGAACTTCTTTCAAAATTGGAGGCCATCCTCTCAAACTCTGCCACTGCCTTATCAAATAAGTTCATGTCTATGCTGTATTCTTTGTTGTCATTTCAACCATGTTCACAGCATCTTCACCAGGAGTGGTGTTCATCTCGAGAAACTGCTTTCTTTGCTCATCCGTAAGAAGCAACTACTCATCGGTCCAAGTTTTATTACGAGATTGTAGCTCTTCAGTCACATCTTCAGGCTCCACTTCTAATTCTGTTCTCTGCTCTTTCCATCACACCTGCAGTTACAGAACTCTTCCTCCCAGCGAAGTCTCGAACTCCTCAAATTCATCCATGAGCATTGGAATCAACTTTTCCCAACTCCTATTAATGTTGATATTTTGACCTCCTCCCATGAATCATGAATTTCTTAATGGCATCTACAATGGTGAATCCTTTCCAAGCTTTCCCTTACTTTGCCCAGATCCATCAGAGGAATCACTATCTATGGCATCTGTAGCCTTACAAAATGTGTTTCTTATATAATCATAAGTCTTGAAAGTAAAAATTACTCCTTGATCCCTGGGCTGCAGAATGGATATTGTGCTAGAGACATGAAAACAGCATCAACCTTCTTGCACATTGTCATCAGAGTGCTTGGGTGACCATGAACATAATACTTTGAAAGGAATATTATTTTCTGAGTAGTAGATCTCAACAGTGGCTTAAGATACTCAGTAAACCATGTTATAAACAGATGTGCTGTCATTCAGGCTTTGTTGTTGCATTTATAGAGCACAAGCAGAATAGATTTAGCCTAATTCTTAAGGGCCCTAAGAGTTTTGAAATGGTTAGTGAGTACTGGCTTCAACTTAGTCACCAGCTGTATTCGCTCATAACAAGAGAATCAGCCTGTCTTTGAAACTTTGAAGCCAGGCATTGACTTCTCTTCTCTAGCTATGAAAGTCCTAGATGACATCTTTTTCCAGGAGAAAGCAGATTTGTTTACATTGAAAATCTGTTGTTTAATGTACTCACCATCGTCAGTTATCTCATCTAGATCTTCTGGATAACTCGTTGCAGCTTCTACATCATCACTTTCTGCTTCACCTTGCACTTTTATGTTATGGAGAGGGCTGCTTTCCTTTAACCTTAGGAGCCAACTTTTTCTAGCTTCACATTTTCTTCTGCAGCTTTCTTAGTTGTCTCAGCCTCTGCAGAACTGAAGAGAATTAGGAACTTGCTCTGTATTAGACCTTGGCCTAAGGGAATGTTATTGCGGGTTTGAGCTTCTATCCAGACCACTAAAACTTTCTCCATATCAGCTAGAAGTCTGTTTCACTCTCTTGTCATTTGTGTGTGCAGTGGAGTAGCACTTTTTAATTTCCTTCAAGAACTTTTCCTTTGCATTGACAATTTGGCTAACTGTTTTGTACAAGAGGTCTAGCTGTTGGCCTATCTCTGCTTTCGATTGTCTTTTTCAACCAGCTTAATCATTTCTGGCTTTTGATTTAAAGTGAGAGGCATGTGACTCTCCTTTCACTTGTACACCTAGAGGCCTTTGTAGGGTTACTAACTGGCCTAATTTCAATATTGATATGTCTGAGAATAAGGAGGTCTGAGGAAAGGGAGAGAGACGGAGGAATGGCTGATCAGAGATGGAGGAATCGCTGATCAGCAGTCAGAACACACAAGACATTTACTGATTCCGTCCTACTTCTTATGTGGGTGTGGTCCATGGCACCCCCAAATAATGGCAATGGTTACGTCAAAGATCACTGGCCACAGATGAGCATAACAGATGTAATCATGATGACAAAGTTTGAAATGTTGTGAGAATTACCAAAATGTTACACAGAGGTGTCAAATGGAGTATCCCTAACAGATATCTATAGAAAACTGCACCTCAAAATAGAACAAGATTCTTTTCAGCCATCCTTGGAATATTCCCCCAGACAGACCATATGCAAGGGCATAAAACAAACCTCAATGATATTCAACATGGAAATAACACAAAGTGTGTACTTCAATTACAAAGGAATGAAATTTGCGATGGAAAGAAGAAAAAATGGAGAAAACTCACATATTTTTGGTAATCAAACACCATCCTCCAAAATAACCAATGAATCAAAGAAGCAACAGAAACAAAAGATAAATGAAAGTGAAGATACAACTTTCCAAAACTTAAGGGACTCGGGGAGTGTAGGAAAAATGGTGGATAGGAGGCAGGACTAACTTGCAGTTCCCACTTGGACGGACAGAGCAGCCTTTGGAGACTCCCATCGTGAGCTTTTGCTCCAAGAACAACCACAGGAACATACCAGGAAAGCCGAGGTAGAGTGCTCACCTCTGCCTGAGCATGAAGCATGCTTCTGGACAAATTTATCGTGTATTTTCCCTACTGTAGCTGAGGCTCCCCATTTCCCCCACAATAGCTCAAGTTTATGGCCAGGCGGTCAAGGCCCAGGATGCTTCAGCCCCAGTGGACTCTCCTGCTTGCCTGCCCTCCACTCTGTACTCTAGCAGTGCCTTTGCAGTTTGTATGGTTCTAGAATACACAAAATATTTTGTCTCTGTCCTTCATACTGATTGTTCCTTTTCACCAAATATGCTTTCTTCATTCTGCTTTTCCAGACTGAATTTTTTTCCTTCAATTGTCAGCCTGGTAAGACCTGCTCTAGCACCTGCTTAAGCGTCTCCTCCTCCTGACATCTCCCACCCCAGAGTAACCACTCCAGTTTCTGCACTGTTTTTGGCCTTTGTATTCTTTTTCGGATTGACCCTTTGCACATTTTGCTTAACTATCCATTCTCTGCAAGACTGAGAGAGTCTCAAGGGTAGGGACATTACTCTGAATTCCTGCATCCTCAGGATCTTGCACAATGCCAGGCATAATGTAGAGATCAGTAAAACAAGGTTGAACTAAACTGTATAGAATAGTAGACATTTCATGCATTTGACATAAATGAATGGACAAGAGTCATGAGACCTGGCGCCTATGTATCGATGAAAATGTGGTTGCTTAGGGAACTAGCTGATGCCAGGGCAATGTGGAGCGCGTTCTGCAAATTCAGTCTTGAACAGGATAAATTTGAAGTAGCAGCTGGGTAAGAAAATGTTGATGTGGGGACTGTGAGCAATGTAGAAGGTTAAAGTAAGTTGGAGCTACAAGCTTTAGTGGAGGTAGGATGGGGCAGGCAAGCATTTAGCAAATGAATGTGTTTTTTTAATTTTAATTTAATTTAATTTTATTTTTTTGACAGAGTCTTGCTCTGTCACCCAGGCTGTAGTGCAGTGGCGTGATCTCGGCTCACTGCAACCTCTGCCTCCCAGATTCAAACAATTCTCCTGCCTCAGCCTGCTGACTAGCTGGGACTACAGGCGCCCACTACCATGTCCAGCTAATTTTTGTATTTTTAGTAGAGACAGGGTTTCAACATGTTGGTCAGGTTGGTCTCGAACTCCAGACCTCACGTGATCCTCCCACCTCAGCCTCCCACAGTGCTGGGATTACAGGTGTCAGCCACTGTGCCCAGCCATGAATGGACTTTTAAATCTCAATTTACAGATTTGATTTCCCTGATATCTAGGGTCAGTGGTATACTGAAAGGAAAGTTTGAGGCAGAAGTGTGGATTCAAATCCTAGATTAACGCATACAACGTTTCCCCCCACTCCACCCACCCCCGGCAAATAACTCCTCATTTCTGAGCACTTGGACAGAGAATGTGCTTACGTGCCTTATCTATATTAAGGTCTTTTATTTATCGCACACACGGAACTATTTGGCTCTATGAGAGATGATTCCACCAAGAATTAGAAGAGCAATAATCTTTTTACAGTTACTCAGCTTGTAAAAGAATGGGGTCAGTATTTAACCCTCTTTACTGACTCAAAGCTGATGCCCCAACTACTCGACCGCGTGTTAAAGGACAGCAATAATGTCTACTTTATGCAACGTTAAGAGCTGAAATCCTGAATGTGGAAGGAGTTCTCTAGCTTGAAAGCTGATTTTAAATGGGAGGTGCTGTTATGGGGATGGCAAAGGGAGTCCTGTTTAACCGTTTCCTCCAGCTTCTGTCTCCCAGCCCACTCCAGCAGGAAACTGTTCTCCATCCTGGACCTGGTTCTGCCCCCTACTCAGGCACCCTGGGATCCCTCAGTCCACCCTGGGGTCTGCAGGGAGTGGTCCAGGATGTCAGGGTTGGGACGTAATCGTGTCCAGACACTTGGTGCGGCTACATGGGAGACAGATGGGGGACATGTTATGATGGGCTTCCCATACAAAGGGATAAGCACTGCCTCGATCAGAAACCAGGGGGCAAAGAGAGAGAGAGAAATAGGAGCCAGGCTGTCACCCAGAAGACTTAAGTACTGGGCCAGCGAAGGGCACTGGGAAGGAGGTGAACTCCCCGTCACAGAAGGGACTAGAACAGGCTGCACGATGCCATGGGCTGAGCGATCGTTTCAGAGCCAATTGGAGCATTTAGTGGAAGTTAAGTGCTGGTTAAGGCCTTTTTTAGCAATAAGGTTCCAAATTACACATTCATGATGGAGTGGTCCTCTGGCATTTCAGTGAAAGTGGGAGTAACCCTGAGCACATGCTCCGGAGACTCTTTGTATCTACAGCTTCCCACATCTCTTATCTGTTAGTTGTCTTATGGCTCTAAGCACAAACGAGCCCGTTTATTTCCCACACTCCAGAACTTAACGTGCACCTTGATCCGAAGAGATCTGCGCAAAGTCAGAGCGATTTGACGGCAGAGATGAGCCCATGACCAAAGCTCTGCTTGCCTCTTAGAAAAGCGGTTACAATGAAAAAGAGGGAGCTGATGGGCTCATCCCTGAGATCACCCCAAGGCCCCTACGTGACCTGAGCATGAAAAGCAGCACCGTGGTGATTCCCTGCAGGGCCCCAATCCTGAGCACACTCGCCCACCACCTCTGTTTCTGCCATGGAGAGAAACGGCTTCCACCTTCTTAGACCCCAGAAGAAACTACTTCCTTCCCGCCTTCTGGGTGGGACATCTTCCTAACAGGAGAGAAGGTAGGAGGGAGGTGATGGGACTTCAGAAAACCAAGGCTGCCCAGAGGACTGGACACCTCTGCTCGCCCGCCCTAAAGGTATCATCTCCCACGCTGCAGTGAGCACTAGGATCACCTGCGATGCTCCAAGACAAAAAGCTGATTTTCCCGCCCCTTCTCGGAGGTGCTGGTTCTGTTCTGAGGACCAAGTTCTTTTTAGTGAGCCCCGAGTGATTCTGATCCTATGCTTTGGGAAACACTGCTGTCAGCCCAGAAGAGTCAGCGGGTTCTGAACGCTCGTGCGGTGTGAAGGCCGTAGAGACACAAACTCCTACGTAGCGCGGCCTGGGGGAGAGGACAGCGAGTGTGCGTGTGTTACAGAAAAGTGCTGCAAGCTTGCTGTTGGGACACTGGCCTTTGTGCCGCCTCTGTTGCTCCCCAGCTGTAGGACTTTGAGTTGGGCAGTCAGTCCCCCAGAGCCACCATGTGGGCATTCTTGTAGGTTGTGAGAATCACAGGCAGCAGGGCGGGTGCCAGTGAGCCCGTGAAAACTGCAGAGTGCCAAAAGGATTGGAGGAATTGTTATCTTACCTTAAACCCTTAGCAGTTAGATTATGAAGATGTGAGTATGTTTGCTTTTTGCATCCTTTAAAAGAAATCTTTGCTAAATCTTTGCCAATGTCCTTTTTTATATTTTCTGCTAAAAGATTTATTGTTTTACTATTCACATTTAGATTCACTATCAATTTAAAACTGATTTTTGTATCAGGTGAGGTATAGGTCAAGATATATTTTTTATCCCACAAATATGAGAGAAAATGGAGGAGAAGATAAGAGGGAAGAGGGAGAAGGAGCATGAGCCTGAGGCGGACGCACCTTACCCACTGCTCTGTGCTGCTCTCAGAGTTCACTGGTTCGGCTGCCTCCACGTTCCTGCTCTACAGGATGAAAATTCAGTAAGGACATAAGAGACTACAATGCATTATTTCCTGAATAGAACTTGCTGACTTGTCCTATTTGCTAAATGTAAAGAGCAGAGAACTTGTTACCTGCATCTTCAGTCCCTGCAAAAGAGGAGACAGAATTTGAGGCTCTTTATGCCCTGATGAGCCTGGGGGGATTTGAGAACTGATGTTGGGATCCCAGATTCACGATGGAAAGGACTAAACAGGGACTGTATCAGACCTTATCAGTTTTGGAGCGGCCCTGGAGATACAATCCCAAGGTAGCCTCTTGAAATGAACATGGATAATTGCTCCAATGTTATTATCTAGAGGCAAGAACCTTGAGAAATGTGTCCAGTTTATGAGAAGTAAACCAGCTCCTTACTGCGCAGCAATCCTAAAACACACGCTGGTAGTCGGCCAGAGATAAAGCAGCCCTCATACATATTGCAGCCTGGCTTTGACTTACCAGAAGTGTGGAAAATCTGAAGTACTAAACTTCGATTAGGATGATCTAGACTTCTAGTGACCCCAAGTTCTAAGCAAAAGCAATTGAAAAAAAATCCTATTTGGAGGAACAGTGCCCCCTTAGAGCTCAAATTACTTCTCTTAATACTTTCTCAAGCACAGTATCCAACATACATCCGAAGATAAGACACACAAGGATGAAGGATTCCAATAGCAAGAACCAGCAGATGGGAGGCATATAGGGACTCCAGATAATATAATTATTAGACACAGATTAAAACAGTCATGCTTATGGTGTCTTAGAAAATAAAATGAAACCTGAAAATTTCGTCAGTGACTTTTACAAATGGAACAGTCATAATGAGTAACCAGCACTCAGATGAAAACACATTACTGGCCCTCCAGAAGTCACCTCATTTTCCTCTGTAGTCCCTGTTCCTACGCGGGTAATCAGTATCTTGACTCCTAATAGCATAAATTAGCTTTATTCATTTTTGTACTTTATATTAAATCATACAGTTTGTTCTCTTTTGTATCTGCTTCTTTCACTCAACCTTATATATGTGTGATTCAGCCACACTGTTGTATGTGGTTGTATATTATTGCTCATATTTATTGCTGTTTAACATTGTATTGTGTGAATGTACCATTTAATAAATGCATTTAACCATTGATAGACATTAGTAGCCAGTTGGGCTTGTTCTGAAAAGGGCAGATGCACGTTTCTGATGGAAATATATACCTGGCTTTGAATTTCTGTAACCTAGGGCAGACTTTTGTGTAGTCAACAGGGCTAAACAGTTTTCCAAACACGTGTCTCCATTTTAATTTCCCCGCGCAGTGTATGGGGGTTCTGGTTGCTCCAAATTTTAACATAAGGTGGTATCTGAAGATATTTTGATGTGTGTGTAGTGGTTTTGTTTATGGTTATAATTTGTATTTTCATGTTGAGTAATGCGGTCAAGTACTTTCTTATATGGCTGTTTATCTGTGTCTGTCTATCATCTCTCTTTGTTGTCTATCTACCTACCACATATGTTCTTGTGTAAAGTACCCATTCAAGTATTTTGCTTATTTTTCTATTATGTTATCTTTTTATGTTGGTTTGTATTTCCTTAAATGCTTTGTGAGTCTTCGCAAATGCTTGGTATTAGGTTGATTGCGGTTTTTGCCATTGCTTTTAATGGCAAAAACCGCAATCACATTTGCCCCAACCTAATAGACTATTTGTGTCAAGTTTGTGGGTTGGCTTTTATGCAACTAATGGTGGCTTTTGAGAAACAGAAGATTTTAATTTTAACGTAGTCCAATTCATCAATTTTCATTTCAGAATTATTGCTTTTTGCATCCTTTAAAGGTAATATTTGCCAATGTTCTTTTTATATTTTCTGCTAAAAGATGTATTGTTTTACCACTCATGTTTAGATTTACTATCAATCTAAAACTGATTTTTATATCAGGTGTGGTATAGGTCAAGATATATTTTTATTCCACAAATATGAATCTCCAACTGATCCAGTGCCATTTATTGAAAAGACCATCCTTTCCATACTGCGTTGCTGTGTAAATGGTTTTTTCACATCTTTATTGAGGTATACTTAACAAATAAAAATTATTTAAGGTTTATATAGTGCTGTTTTGATATATGTAATATATATCTATTGTAAATGATCACCACAATCAAGCTAATTAGCATATCCATCATTTCACATAGTTACTGTTATTTTGGTGTGAGAATACACTAGATCTATTCTCTTTGCAAATTTTGACTTTGTAACATTGTATTATTGACTATAGACTGGGTATGGTGGATCAGGCCTGTATTCTTAGCACTTTAGGAGGCTGAGGTGGGAGGATTACTTGAGGCCGGCAGTTTGAGACCAGCCTAGGCAACATGGTGAGACCCCATCTCTAGAGAAATTAATAAATAATTAGTCAGGCCTGGCAGTGTGTGCCTATAGTCTTAGCTACTTGGGAGGCTGAGGTGGGAGAATTGCTTTAACCCAGGAGTTGGGGGCTACAGTGAACTATGATCCTGCCACTGCACTCCAGCTTGGGTGACAGAGCAAGACCTTGCCTCTAAAACACCACCACCACCACCAACAACAACACAATATAGTTACCGTGCTATATATTAGCTCTCCAGAACTTGCTCATAACTGAAAGTTTGTTACCTTTCACCAATGCTTCCTCAACTCCTCCATCTCCTGACCTCTGGCAACCACTCTTTTAGTCTGCTTTTGTGAGCTATACTTTAAAAAAAAACTTTAATTTTTAATTTTTGTGAGTTCATAGTAGGTATGTGTATATATGAGGTACATGAGATGCTTTTATACAGGCATGCAGTGTATCATAATCACATCATGGAAGATGGGGTATCCATCCCCTCAAATATTTATCCTTTGTGTTACAAACAATCCAGTTATACTCTTTTAGTTATTTTACAATGTATAATTACATTATTATTGACTATAGTCACCCTGTCCTGGGCCTTATTCATTCTGATGATTTTTTGTACCCATTAGCCATCTCCCCCCACCACTATCCTTCCCAGCCTCTGGTAAGGATCCTTCTACTCTCTAACTCTGAGCTATACGTCTTCAGATTCCACATATAGGTGAGATCCTGCAGTTTTTGTCTTTCTTTGTGTGGCTTATTTTGCTTAGTGTAATGTTCTCCAGGTTCATCCATATCACAAATAGAGGATTTACTTCTTTTTATGACTGAGTAATATATTTTGTGTGTGTGTGTGTGTGTATAAGGTCTATATGTCTCTGATTTTTATACATTGATTTTATATCCTGCAACTTTACTGAATTTGTTAATTCATTCTACTAGTTTATTTTGTGGTGTCTTTTATGGGTTTCTACATAAAAGATTATAAATAATTTTATTTTGTTCTGATTTGGATTTTTTTTTGTCTTCTTTTTTTATTATTATACTTTAAGTCCTGGGATACAAGTGCAGAACGGGCACATTTGTTACATAGGTATACATGTGCCATGGTGGTTTGCTGCACCCATCAACCCGTCATCTACATTAGGTATTTCTTCTAATGCTATCCCTTTCCTAGCCCCCAACCCCCTGACAGGCCCCGGTGTGTGATGTTCCCCTCCCTGTGTCCACGTGTTCTCATTGTTCAGCTCCCACTTATGAGTGAGAACATGCGTTGTTTGGCTTTCCGTTCCTGTGTTAGTTGATGTCTTTTTGTTTGTTTGTTTCCTAATTGATCTGTCTAGGACTTCCAGTATTATGTTGAATAGAAGTGCCAACATAGCATCCTTGCTTTCTTCCAAATCTTAGAAGAAAAGCTTTCAGTTATTCTTCATTGAGTATGATGCTCACTGTGGGCTTTTCACATATGGCCTTTATTGTGTTGAGGTAAATGACTTCTATACTTAATTAGTTGAGACTCTTCATCATGAAATGGTTTTGAATTTTGTCAAATGCCTTCTCTGCATTTATGGATATAATCATGTAGTTTTTATCCTTCATTCTGTTAGTGTGGTATGTTATACTGACTGATTTGTGTATGTCAAATCAACCTTGCATCCAGGGATAAATCCTACTTGGCTATGTATTGTGCTGTTGAATTTGGTTTGTTTATATTTTACTGAGTATTTTGAATCTATGTTCATAAGAGATACTGGTCTGTGTTTTCCTTTCTTGTGGTGTCTTTGTCTGGCTTGGGTATCAGAGTGATGCTGGTGTCATTAAATGAGTTTGGAAGTGTTTCCTACTATTATTTTTGGAAGAATTTAAAAAGTTTGGGTATTAATTCTTCTTTAGATATTTGGTAGAAATTACCTGCGAAGCCATCCATTCATGTTTCTTTTATTGCTGGAAAGTTTGTTTTTTAAATTACTGATTCAATCTTCTTATTTGTTATTGGACTGTTTAGGCTTTCTACTTCTTCAGGTTGAAAGGTTGTGTGTTTCTAGAAATTTATCAGTTTCTTACAGGCTGTCCAATTAATTGGCTTGCAATTGTTTATAATAATCCTTTCTGACCTTTTTTAATTTCCATGGCCATAGATTATAGAAATTTCACCCCTTCTGATTTTGTTTGAGTATTTCTTATTTTAAAAATGATTCTAGCTAAGAGTTTGTTAATTTTTTCACATTTTTCCCCAAAAAACGATGTCTACTTTTGTCTATTTTTGATATTATTTTATGTTTCATTTATTTCTGCTCTATTCTTTATTATTTTCTTCCTTCTGCTAACTTTGGGTTTAATGTCTTATTTTTTACTTCCTTAAGTGTAAAGTTAGGTTGTTTATTTGAGATATTTCTTCTTTCATAATGTAAGTTTCTCACTGTCAATTTCCCTCTTAGTACTGCATTTGCTGCAACTTTTAAGTTTTTGTATGTTGTGTTTATTTTCATTGTTTTCCCTGAAATATTTTTTAATTTCCTTTTTAATTTCTTCGAGTCAATAGTTGTTCAGGAGTGTTTAATTTTCATATAATCTATAATTTTCCTATTGTTATTGAATTCATTTTTCATTTTTAATAGCCAGAAATGGCACACAGAATGATTTCAATCTTCTTAAGTTTGTTAACAATTATTTTGTAACCTAGCATGTGATTTTTCTTGGAAAATGTTCCATGTCTGTTTTAGAAGAATGTGTTTTCTGCTGCTGTTGGGTGGAATGTTTTGTACATGTCTGACTCATACATTGGTTTATGGCATTGTTCAGATCTGGTGTTTCTTTGTTGATTTTCTGTTCAGATTATAAATCCTTTATGGAAAGTGGGATATCAAAGTCTCCTACTATTATTTTATTGCTTTTATGTATCCCTTAAAATCTGTCAATGTTTGCTTTATATAGTTAGGTGCTCTGATGTTTGGTACATGTATATTTATAATTGTTATATATTCCTGTGGAATCAACCATTTTGTCATTATATAATGACCTTCTTTGTCTCTTGTAACAGCTTTTGAATTAAAGTCCATTTTATCTGATGTAAGTATAGCCACCCTGGACACTTGGTGTATTTGTTTGTTTTGACACTGTTGTAAAGAACTACCTGAGACTGGGTAAAGACTAGGTAAGGCAAAGAGCTTTGATTGACTCACAGTTCTGCATGGCTGGGGTGGCCTCAGGAAACTTACAATCATGGTGGAAGGCAAAGGGGAAGCAAGGCACATCTTACATGGCAGCAGGAGAGAGAGAAGGGGAGGGTGAAGTGCCACACTGTTAAACCATCGGATCTCATGAGAACTCACTCATTATCATGAGAGCAGTATGGGGAAAATCTGCCCCCATAATCCAATCACCTCATACCAGTTCCCTCCGCTGAAATGTGGGGATTACAATTCCAGATAAGATTTGGGTGGGACACAGAGCCATATCATATTATTCCAACCCTGGCCCCTCCCAAAATTCATGTTTTTCTCACATTTCAAAACCAGTCATGCCTTCCCAACAGTCTTAACTCATTCAGGCATTCAAAATTTTCAGTCCAAAGTCTCATCTGGGACAAGGCAAGTCCCTTCTGCCCACTACCCTGTAAAATAAAAAACAGGTTAGTTACTTTGATACTTCGAAGATACAATGGGGATATAGGAATTGGGTAAATGCTCCCATTCCAAGAGGGAGAAATTGACCAAAACCAAGGGGCTACAGCCCTCATGCAAGTCCAAAACCCAGCAGGGCAGCCATTAAATCTTAAATCTCCAAAATAATCTCCTTTGACTCCATGTCTCACATCCAGGGCACACTGATGCAAGAGGTGGGCTCCCAAGGCCTTGGGCAGCTCCACCCCTGTGGCTCTGCAGGGTACATACAGCCCCTGCAACTTCTTTCATGGGCTGGCATTGAGTGCCTGTGGCTTTTCCAGGCACCTAGTGCAAGCTGTTGGTGGATCTACCATTTTGGGGGCTGGAGGATGGTGGCCCTCTTCTCACAGCTCCACTAGGCGGTTCTCCTATGGGGGGCTCCAGCCCCACTGCATTGCCCTAGTAGAGGTTCTCCATGAGGGCTCTGCTTTTGCCACAGACTTCTGCCTGGAAATCCAGGCATTTCCATACATCCTCTGGAACCTAGGCTGAGATTCCCAAACCTCAACTCTTGTCTTCTGCATACCTGCAGGCCCAACACCACGTGGAAACCACCAATGCTTGGGACTTGTACCCTCTGAAGCAATGGCCTGAGCTTTACCTTGGCCCCTTTTAGCCATGGCTGGAGCTGGAGTGGCTGGGATGCAGGGTGCCATGTCCCATGGCTGCATTGAGTCTTCTAGTCTTCCATGCCTGTGATTGAAGGGGCTGCTGTGAAGGTCTCTGAAATGCCCTGGAGACATTTTCCCCATTGTCTTGACTATTAACATTCGGCTCCTTGTTACTTATGCAATTTCTGCAGCCAGTTTGAATTTCTCCCCAGAACATGGGTTTTTCTTTCCTACTGCATGGCCAGGCTGCAAATTTTCCACACTTTTATGTTCTGCTTCTCTTTTAAACATAAGTTCCAATTTCAGATAATGTCTTTGTGAATGCATATGACTATAGGCTTTTAGAAACAGCCAGGTGACATCTTGAATGCTTTGCTGCTTAGAAGTGTCGTCCACCAGATAACCTAAATAATCACTCTCAAGTACAAAGTTCCACAGATCTTTAGGGTGGGGCAAAATGCCTCCAGTGTCTTTGCTAAAGCATAGCTAGAATGACCTTTACTCTAGTTCACACTAAGTTTCTCATCTCCATCTGAGACCACCTCAGCCTGGACTTCAATGTCCATTATCACTTTCAACATTTTGTCCAAAACTATT
Source organism: Homo sapiens (assembly GCF_000001405.40). Classification (NCBI taxonomy): domain Eukaryota; kingdom Metazoa; phylum Chordata; class Mammalia; order Primates; family Hominidae; genus Homo; species Homo sapiens. The sequence continues at coordinate 3,080,691 of NC_000017.11, forward strand.
CAACAAATCTCTAGGAAGTTCCCAACTTTCCTACATCTTCCTCTCTTCTTCTGAGTCTTCTAAACTGTTCCAACCTCTGCTCCTTACCCAGTTCCAAAGTTGCTTCTACATTTTCAGGTATCTTTATAGAGGTACCCTACTCCGCTGATACCAATTTTCTGTATTAGTCCATTTTCACATTGCTATAAAAACTACCTGACACTGGATAATGTATATAAAAAAAGAGGTTTAATTGACTCACATTTTTGCATAGCTGGGGAAGCATTCAGGAAACTTACAATCATGGCAGAAAGTGAAAGGGAAGCAAGGTACATCTTACATGGCAGCAGGGGAGAGAGAGGGGCGGGGGACGTGCCACACTTCTAAACTATCAGATCTCAGGAGAACTCACTCACTATCATGAGAATAACATGAGGAAAATCTGCTGCCATGGTCCAATCACCTCCCACCAGGTTCCTCCCCTGACACTAAGGGTTACAATTTGAAGTGAGATTTGGGTGGAGACACAGAGCCAAACCACATCACTTGGTTATTATTTGCATGGAATGTATTTTTCTTCTTCCCTTAACTTTCAGTTTCTGTGTGTCCTTAAATTTAAAGCTTGTGTCTTGTAGAAAGCACATAGTTGGATCATGTATTTTAATTCATTCAGCTGCTGTATATATTTTGAATAATGAGTGTGATTTTCTTATACTTGAAGTAATTATTGAAGTAATTACTGATAGGCAGACACTTACTATGGTCAATTTGTGATTGTGTTCTGCCTTTTTTGTCAGTCTTTGGTTCTCTTTCTCAAAGAAATACCTCCCTTCTTTGTTTCTATCTGACCACAGTGAGTCAATCATGCCATTACCCCCCTGTGATCTCTGTGAGGTGAGACTGGAGTGGGCATCCTGATAGGTATCTTGGAATGCTGGGAAAGACTGATGCCCATCTCTTATTGTATTTTTTGTGATCTGATGATTTTTTAAAATAGTGATATAATTTTATCCTTTTTTCTTTATTTTTAAGTTACTTTTATTTATTAATTTTAAGAGACAGGGTTTCACTCTGTTGCCCAGGCTGGATTGCAGTGGCACGATCCTAGCTTACTGTGGTCTCCAGCTCCTAGGCTGAAGGGATACTCCCACTTCAGCTTCCTGAGTGGCTGAGACTACAGGCACATGCCACCATGCCCTGTCAATCTTATTTTTTTATTGTACAATGGCTTTTTCCTTGTGGTCACCATGAGGTTTGGATAGAAATTCTTATAACAATCTGTTTGAAGCTGATAACAACTTATCCACATAGAAAAACTCCACACATAATCTTCACACTTCCACATATATCTCCTTGATTTCAGAATTTACATATTTTTATATTTTTTTGTAGTTATTTGTATTCTTAATTATTTTCCAAATGAATTTAATTTTCTATCTGTATATTCTTGTAGTTCACTGAACTTCTTTAAGAGGACAATTCTGGATTTATTGTGAATCCTTTCATGGATCTTCATTTTTGCAGGATTTATCGTTATATCTTTATTAGTTTTTTTTCTTTTGGAGGTGTCATGATTCCCTGATTCTTCATAATCCTTGTGTCTTTTGTTGGTGTCTGCACATTGAGGAAATAGTCAGCTCTTCCAGATTTTACAGGTATTCTTGGGATAGACCTTCACTCTTAAGTCTAGCCTGTGATTTTGGATGGGCCAGCTGGTAATGACATGGAATAGACAGAGCCTGCCATCAGGTTCTCTCATTTGTGGGGCCAAGGCCTTTGCTCTGAGGTTGGAATGGGACTACTGGCTAGGCTCCATTTTCCGTTAGACCACAGGCTTGGCTTTGGAATCAGGCAGAACTTCTGGCTGGGTGCTGCAATTGCTTCTGATTGGGCTGAAACACAGGGTATGTTCACTGGCCAGGCAGGACCTCTATTTGAGTTCTGCAATTGGGTCAGGCTGCAGGTTGGACCCCAAGGTTAGTCAGAATTACTACTTGGGATGATCAGGATCAGCTGCTATGATCAGAGAGATGTATGGTTGAGGCTTGGCTCCCTGTCAGGGTGAAGCCCTGGAGTGGGTTTTGAGGCTGATGTGAACTGCTATTTCAATTTTTGGGTGGTCTAAGTTTAGCCCATTGTTTACTGAAAGGCATTGTATTGGGCAACACCCTCCCTGGGTGGGGTCTTGGATAAGCTTTGAGGCTGACTTGAGAGCTGTTTGAATTTCTGGGTGGTGTAAGTCAGGCTTTGTACTTTGCCAACAGTTGCCGTGTTTCATTTCTCCCTCGCTGGATGGCGTCTTGAGGTGGGCTTTGAGGACGAGCTGAGCTGGTACCTTTGATTGGATGCCTCTGCAGGCCACAGCACAGAGCACCATCAAAATGTGAGCACTAGTTGCTGTGAGCAATACCTCCATTCTTTGTTTCTATCTGACCACAGGCAGTGAGCCATGTCATTACCCCCTGTGATCTCTGTGAGGTGAGACTGGAGTGGGCATCCTGAGAGATGTCTCAGAATGCTAGGGAAGCTAGATGTCCATCTTCAGCTCCCTTTTCCCACTGTAGAAACTGTGGGCCCAGGGAAATTCTCTGTTTATGGCACTGTGCCATGTTGAGGGAGGGCAAGGGACAATGTGGTTGAAGTGAGTGCATTTCTCTTGCTCTTCAAATGCAGTTCTTATTTGTTTCTGTGATACACACAAGTATTTCAGGCTTATTCTCAAGGTTTGGGGGTTTTCACTGAGGTATACTTGTCTGTGGATAGCTGCTAGTAGAACTTTCTGTTGCAGGGAGAGAAGGCTAGGACATTTTATTCTGCCATTTTGCTGATATCATTATAGCCATTGCTTTTTATCCCCTATTTTTTATTTCAATAGGTTTTTGGGGAACAAGTGGTATTTGGTTACAAGGATGTTCCTTAGTGGTGATTTGTGAGATTTTGGTGCATCCATCACCTGAGCAGTGTACACTCTACCCAATGTGTAGTCCTCACCTCCTTCCACCCTTTCCCCTGAGTCCCCAAAGCCCATTGTATCATTTTTATGCCTTTATGTCCTCATTGCTTAGCTCCCACTTATGAGTGAGAACATACCATGTCTGGTTTTCCATTCCTGAGTTACTTCACTTAGAATAATAGTCTCCAGTTCCATCTACCTTGTTGTAAATGTCACTATTTCATTCCTTTTTATGGCTGAGTAGTATTCCAAGGGGTGTGTGTGTGTGTGTGTGTATTTATAAATATATATATATTTGGACATATGGACATTTTCTTTATCCACTCATTGACTGCTGGGCATTTGGACTGGTTGCATGTTTTGCAAGTGCGAGTTGTGCTGTTATAAACATGTGTGTTCAAGTATCTTTTTTGTATATGACTGCTTTTCCTCTGGGTAGATACGCAGTAGTGGGATTGCTGGATCAAATGGCAGACATACTTTTAGTTCTTTAAGGAATATCCACACTGTTTTCATAGTGGTTGTACTAGTTTACATTCCCACCAGCAATGTGAAAATATTTCCCTTTTACCACATCCATGCCAACATCTATTATTTTTTGATGTTTTGATCAAGGCCATTCTTGCAGGAGTAAGGTGGTATTATATTGTGGTTTTAATTTGCATTTCCCTTATAATTAGTGATGTTAAGCATTTTTTCATATGTTTGTTGGCCATTTGTATATCCTCTTTTGAGAATTTTCTGTTCATGTCCTTAGCCCACTTTTTGATGGGATTATTATTATTATTTTTTTCTTGTTGATTTGTTTGAGTTCCCAAAGATTCTGGATATTAGTCCTTTGTCAGATGCATAGTTTACAAGATTTTCTCCCACTCTGTGGGTGGTCAGTTTACTCTATTGATTATTTCTTTTGCTGTTGCAGAAGCTTTTAGTTTAAGTCACATCTGTTTATCCTTGTTTTTGTTGCATTTGGTTTTGGGTTGTTGGTCATGAAGTCTTTGCCTAAGCCAATGTCTAGAAGGCTTTTTCCAATGTTGTCTTCTAGATTTTTTACGGTTTCAGGTCTTGTATTTAAGTCCTTGATCCTTCTTGAGTTGATTTTGGTAAGAGATGAGAGATGAGGATCCAGTTTCATTCTCCTGTATGTGGCTAGCCAATTATCCCAGCATCATTTGTTGAATAGGGCTTCCTTTTTCCACTTTATGCTTTTGTTTGCTTTGTCAAAGACCAGTTGGCTCTAAGTATTTGGGCATATTTCTGGGTTCTCTATTCTGTTCCCTTGGTCTATGTGCCTATTTTCTTACCAGTACCATACTGTTTTGGGGACTATGGCCTTCTAGTATAGATTGAAGTCGGGTAATGTAATGCCTCCAGATTTGTTCTTTTTGCTTAGTCTTGCTTTGGCTATGTGGGCTGTTTTTTGGTTCTATACAAATTTTAGGATAGTTTTTTCTAGTTGTGTGAAAAATAATGGTGGTATTTTGATGGGAATTGCATTGAATTTGTAGATTACTTTTGGCAGTATGGTCATTTTCACAGTATTGATTCTATCCATCTGTGAGCATGGGATGTGTTTCCATTTGTGCCTTCTATGATTTCTTTCAACAGTGTTTTGGAGTTTTCCTTGTAGAGGTCTTTCACTTCCTGGATTAGGTGTACTCCTAAGTATTTTAATTTTTTCTAGGTATTGTAAAAGGAGTTGAGTTCTTGATTTCTCAGCTTGGTCACTACTGATGTATAGTAGTGCTACTCATTTGTGTATATTAATTTTATATCCTGAAACTTTACTGAATTCATTTATCAGTTATAGAAACTTTTTGGATGAGTCTGCAGGGTTTCCTATGTATATGATTTTATCATTGGTGAACAGCGACAGTCTGACTTCCTCTTTACTGATTTGGATGACCTTTACTTCTTTCTCTTGTCTGACTGCTCTAAGACTTCCAGTACGATGTAGAATAGAAATGGTGACAGTGAGCATCCTTGTCTTGTTCCACTTCTCAAGGGGAAATGCTTTCAGCTTTTCTCTGTTCAGTATAATATTGGCTATGGGTTTGTCATGGGTGGCTTTTATTACCTTAAGTTATGTCCCTTCTATGCCAATTTTGCTGAGGGTTTTAATCGTAACGGGATGTTGGATGTTTTGTCAAATGCTTTTTCTGCATCTATTGAGATGATCATGTGCTTTTTATTTGAAATTCTGCTTATGTAGTACATCACATTTATTAACTTGTGTATGTTAAGCCATCCCTGCATCCTTGGTATAAAAGCTCCTTGATCATGGTGGATTATCTTTTTGACAAGCCATTAGATTGTTAGCTAGTATTTTGTTGAGGATTTTTGCACCTATGTTTATCAGAGATATTAGTCTGTAGTTTTCTTTTTTTGTGATGTCCTTTCCTTGTTTTGGTATTAGAGTGATACTGGCTTCATAGAATGATTTAGGGAGAATTCCCTCTTTCTCTATCCTGTGTAATAGTGTCAATAGGATTGGTACCAATTCAACTGTGAATCTGTCTGGTCCTGGACTTTATTTTGTTGTCATTTTTTTCATTATCATTTCAATATCGCTGCTTATTGGTCTGTTCAGAGTTTCTATATCTTCCTAGTTTAATCTAGGGGGGTTGTACATTTTCAGGAATTTATCCATCTCCTGTAGGTTTTTCAGCTTGTGTGCATGAAGGTATTCATAGTAGCCTTGAATAATGTTTTGTATTTCTGTGGTATCAGTTGTAATATCTCCCACGTTTTTCTAATTGAGCTTATTTGAATTTTCTCTTATTTTCTTTGTTAATCTTGCCAATGGTCTATCAGTTTTTTTTTACCTTGTCAAAGAACCAGCTTCTTGTTTCATTTATGATTTTTATTTTTATTTTTCAATTTCCTTCAGTTCTCCTCTGATCTTTGTTATTTCTCTTTGTCTGCTGGGTTTGGGTTTGGTTTGTTCTTGTTTCTCTAGTTCCGTGAGGTGTGACCTTAGGTTGTCTATTTGTGCTCTTTTAGAATTCTTAATGTAATAATACTGTGAACTTTTCTCTTAGTACTACTTTTGCTGTATTCCAGAGATTTTGATAGGTTGTGTCCCTATTATCATTCATTTCAAAGAATTTTTAAGTTTTCCTGTTGATTTTGTTGTTGACCCAACAATCATTCAGGAGCAGGTTATTTAATTTCCATGTATTTGGATGGTTTTGTGGGTTCCTTTAGGAGTTGATTTCCAATTTTATTCCAGTGTGGTCTGAGAGAGTACTTGATATAATTTCAATTTTCTTAAATTGATTGAGACTTGTTTTGTGGCCCATGATATGGTCTATCTTTGAGAATGTTTCGTGTGCTGATAAGTAGAATGCATATTCTGCAATTGTTGGGTAGAATGTTCTATAAATATCTGTTAAGTTCATTTGTTCTAGGATATAGTTTAAGTCCATTGTTTCTTTGTTGACTTTCTGTCTTGATGATATGTCTAGTGCTAACAGTGGAGTATGGAATCCCCCACTATTATTGTGCTGTTGTCTATCTCATTTCTTAGGTCTAGTAGTAAATGTTTTATAAATTTGGCAGCTCCAGTGTTAGGTGCATATATATTTAGGATTGTGATGTTTTCCTTTTGTACTAGTCCTGTTATCATTATGTAGTGTCCGTCTTTGTCTTTTTTAACTGTTGTGGGTTTAATGTCTGTTTCGTCTAAGAATAGCTACTCCTGCTTGCTTTGGTGACCATTTGTATGGAATATCTTTTTCTACCTCTTTGCCTTAAGTTTATGTGAGTCCTTATGTGTTAGCTGAGTCTCTTGGGGATGGCAGGTACTAGGTTGGTGAATTCTTATCCATTCTACCATTCTGTATCTTTTAAGTGGAGTGTTTAGGCCATTTACATTCAACATTACTATTGAGATATGAGCTACTATTCTATTTGTCATGCTAATTGATGGCCTGAAGAGCTTGTTTTATTTTTCCATTTTGTTATTGTTTTATAGGTCCTGTGAGATTCATGCCTGAAGGAGGTTCTATTTTGGTGTATGTCAAGGGTTTGATTCAAGATTTAGAGCTCCTTTTACAAGTTCTTGTAGTGCTGGCTTGGTAGTGCCGAATTCTCTCAGCATTTGTTTGTCTGAAAAAGACTATCTCTCCTTCATTTATGAAGCTTAGTTTCATGGGATACAAAATTCTTGGCTGGTAATTGTTTTGTTTAAGGAGGCTAAAGATAGGACCCTAATCCCTTCTAGCTTGTAGGGTTTCTGCTGAGAAATCTGCCATTAACCTGATAGGTTTTTCTTTATACGTTACCTGATGCTTTTGCCTCACAGCTCTTAAGATTCTTCCCTTCATCTTGACTTTGGATAACCTGATGTCTATGTGCCTAGGTGATGATCTTTTTGTGATGAATTTCCCAGTTGTTCTTTCAGCTTCTTGCATTTGGATGTCTAAATGTCTCACAAGGCCAGGGAAGCTTTCCTCAATTATTCCCTCAAATATGTTTTCAAAACTTTCAGATTCCTCTTCTTCCTTGGGAACACCAGTCATTCTTAGGTTTGGCCATTTTACATAATCACAATCTTCTTGGAGGCTTTGTTCATTTTTTAAAATTCTGTTTTCTTTGTCTTTGATGGGTTGGGCTTTTGAAAGCCTTGTCTTTGAACTCTGAAGTTCTTTCTGCTACTTGTTTGTTTCTATTGCTGGGACTTTCCAGTGCATTTTACATCTCTCTAAATATGTCTTTCATTTCCAGAAGTTGTGATTGTTTTTTATTTATGCTATCTATTTCACTGAAGATTTTTGCTTTCATATCCTTCATATCCTGTATCTTTTTTAGCAGGAAGAGCTGCAGACCAAACTCCTCAGACACCAAGTTAAAGAAGGAAGGGGTTTATTTGGCCAGGAGCATCGGCAAGACTCCTGTCTCAAGAGCTGAGCTCCCCCAGTGAGCAATTCCTGTCCCTTTTAAGGGCTCACAACTCTAAGGGGGTCTGCGTGAGAGAGTCATGATCAATTGAGCAAGCAGGGGGTACGTGACTGGGGGCTGCATGCACCAGTAATCAGAACAAAACAGAACAGGACAGGGATTTTTACAATGCTTTTCCATACAATGTCTGTAATCTATAGATAACATAACCAGTTAGGTCAGGGGTCGATCTTTAACTACCAGGCCCAGGGCGTGGTGACAGGCTGTCTGCCTTTAGATTTCATTTCTGCCTTTTAGTTTTTACTTCTTTCTTTGGAGGCAGAAATTGGGCATAAGACAATATGAGGGGTGGTCTCCACCCTTACTTTTTTTTTTTTTAATTTAAGTTGAACTTCACCTTTCTCGGGCACCTCCTTGATTAGCTTAATACTCAACTTTCTGAATTCTTTTTCTGGCAATTCAGAGATTTCTTCTTGGTTTGGATCCATTGCTGGTGAGCTAGTGTGATCTTTCAAGGGTGTTAAAGAACCTTGTTTTGTCATATTACCAGATTTGTTTTTCTGGTTCCTTCTCATTTGGGTAGACTATGTCAGAAGGAAGATCTGGGGCTCAAGGGCTACTTATCAGATTGTTTTTGTCCATGGGATCCCCCCTTGATATGGGGCTCTACCCCATCTCCTGGGGATGGGGCTTCCTGAGAGCCAAACTGCAATGATTGTTATTTCTCTGCTGGTCTAGCCATCCAACAGAGCTTCTGGGCTCTGAGCTGGTACTGGGGGGTGTCTGTGAAGAGTCCTGTGATGTGATCTGTCTTCAGTCCCTCAGGCATGGATACCAGTGCCTGGTCCAGTGGAGGTAGCAGTGGAGTAAAGTGAACTCTCATGGTCCAAGTGTTTATCTAGGAGTCTATGGTCCTTGGTTGAAGTTTTGTTTAGTGTACTAGTTGGCCTCCAGCCAAGAGGTGGTCCTTTCAAGAGTGCACCAGCTGTGGTAGCATAGGGGGGATACAAACTTGCCCTAAGGTGGCCTGGATAAGTATTCCAGTTTCTCAGGTGGTGAGTGGGACCATAGAGCTCCCAAGAGATTATGCCCTTTGTCTTCGGCTACCAGGGTGCGTAGAGAAAGACCATTAGGTTGGGGCAGGGTTAGGCATGTGTGAGCTCCGACTCTCCTTCGGTGGGGCTTGCTGTGGCCACTGTGAGGGATGGGGGTGTGGTTAACAGGCCAATGAAGTTATGTTCCCATGGGGATTATGGCTGCCTCTGCTGTGTCATACAGGTTGCCAGGGAAGTGGTGGAAAGCCAGCAGTGATAGGCCTCACCCAGCTCCCATGCTGTCCAAGTGGCCATGTCACTCCCAATGTGCCCTACCCCTAACAGTGCTGAGTTTATTTCCGGGTAGCTGGTGAGCAGGGCTGAAAACTTGTTCCAGGCTGCAAGTCTCCCTGTTGAGAAAGCAAGCAGCACTTTCAGGTTTCTGTTTTCCTGCCTGTGGTGGCTGCTGTGAATAGCCATTTTTAGAAAAATAAGTTTTCTGCCTCCTTTTCTTTCACTTTTCCTTCTGATACTTATGTAATGTGTGTATTTGTTTGATGGGTCCCATATGTCCCATAGGCTTTCTTCACTCTTTTTCCATTTGTTTCTCTTACTAGTACTTTCAAATGACCTGTTTTTGAGTAGTGAATTCTTTCTTCTGTTTCTTCATATCTGCTGCTGAAGCTCTTTTGAGTTTTTTAAAGTTTAGTCATTGTATTATTTAGCTCCAGAATTACTGTTTCTTTTTTGTGGTTTCTGTTTGTTGAAATTTACATTTTATTTATGTATTGATTTCCTGATTTTGTTTAGTAGTTTACCTGTGTTTTTGTGTGGGTCACCATGTTTCTTCAAATGATCACTTGAATTCTTTGTCAGGCAGTTCATATTTCTCCATTTCTTTGATGGTTTCTGAAGCTTTATTTTGTTCCTTTGGCTTTGCTAAGTTTCCTTGATTCCTTGTGTTTCCTGTAGCTTCACATTTGTGTTTGCACATTTGAAGAAGCAGTCATCTCTTTTAGTCTTTACAGGCTGGTTTTGATAGGGAAAGTCCAATTTGATAGGAACTGTTTTTCACCAGTCAGCTTAGCCAGATATTCTGGGCTGGCCAGTTGGCAGGGTCTATGGGCAGGCAGGCCTAGTGCTTGGGGATGTGGGTGGATGGGCCAGCTTCTGGGCACCATGCACAGGCCCACTGTAGGGTGCAAGGCCCCAGTTGTTAAAATACACATACTGACTATTAAGAGCTCCCAACCATTTTCTTATTTTTTTTTTTTCTTGTTCTTAGCTACTCAGAGGGGTCTGGCCATGTGAATTGCCTCAGTATTCTTGGTGAGGCATGACAGAAGTGGTCCTCTTGGTTAGCATCCTGAAAGTCAGGGGAAGTTGTACATATGTTTTATTTTCTTTTTTACTTATGGAAGAACTCATGAGATGAGGGGATCTCTCTTTGTGCTACTCTGTGCTGGCTTGGGTGAGGGGTGATTCAGGTAATGTGACAGAGTTTTTTCTACAATGTTCAATATGGTGTTTTTTCTACTTCTGTGTACTACCAGGGTGCTATAAACTTTCACTTGGATTCTGGAGCTCTCACAAAGGTATTTTCATCTGTGGATGGTTGATAAATTAGTCTGTATGTTGGTGGATGAGAGATACAACTGTCGATTCCACCATCTTGTTGACATCACTCCTTTCACCCGTTTTGAAATATCTTTTACCTGATGTCATTGCAGCAATATTTCACTTAAAATATTTAGTATTTTCCAAATATGTCTGTTTCTCTTTTTAATTTCAAGCTTTATATATTCCTGTGCTTTCATCGTGTCTCTTTAAATACATCTATCTATATTTTATTTTTTAATCAGTATGTTGAACATTACTTTTTAATTGATGAGTTAGGTCCATTTATGTTTAATGTAAATTTATGTACTTCCCCGAGTAGACTGTGACCTCACATTTGTAACCCAGTTTGAGGCCTCTGTACACTGTCATTATGAATAGAATGAGTTGATGAATGACTGCATGAATGTCAAATGAATTGAACACCACCTGTCGAGGTCTATATCACGTGCTGGATCAGCTGATACAAATATGTATGATTGCAATCTCTTTCAAACCTCCACAGCCATGTGACTAACTTTCTTATCAGCTACTATTTACTTTCTGTACTTTGGATGTGTGCTAGATGAGAGACACTTCTAGGTTTAAACTGGATATAGTCAGATAAGGCCAAGAATGTGGCCCTGTAGTCAAGTACATTGAAGAATTTGACCCTGCAACATTCTAGTGTTGGTGTTAGTGTGACCTTATTTACGGCCAAGGCTGATGAGACCTGGGGGACACCAGGTTACAAATATGTCTTTTTTATCACCACATATCTATATGCTGTCTCTGAGCTGGAGCCATGTCCCAATCACTGCTGTATAACACACAGGACAATCCCTTACATAGGGTGAAGGATATTCCTAGTCTCCACTTTAATGCTGTCTTTCCAAATTGCCCTCATGTCAGCCTCTTAAAGTGTTTATCTAGGAGTCTTCCCAGAGCCCCATGCATGTCCTTGTTCCTCAGGCTGTAGATGAAGGGATTCATCATGGGTGTCACCACAGCATACATCACTGTGGCTACTGAGTCCTTCACAGAGTAGGTATGGAGGGGCTTTAGGTATACCATACAAAGTGTCCCATAGAAGAGGGAGACTGCACCCAAATGGGAGGCACAGGTGGAGAAGGCTTTGTATTTCTTAGAGACTGAGGGTATTCTGAGGATGGCTCTGATAATCAGCACATAGGAAATGATCACGAATCCAAAGGGAATGAGGAAGATGAAGCAGCCTGTGGCAATCAGCACTGTGTGATTAATCTGAATGTTGGAACATGCCATCCTCAGCAATACATACATCTCACAGAAGATGTAGTGGATTTTTCGTGACCCACAGAAGGTCACTCTGGTCATGAGGAGGGTGTGTATGAGGCCATAGAGGACGGATAGGACCCAACACAAGGAAAGGAGTAAGATACAGAGCTTAGGGCTCATGGCTGTGGTGTAGTGGAGGGGGCAGCAGATGGCCACATAGCGGTCATATGCCATCACAGCCAGGATGAGGTTGTCCAGGGCCACCAAGGAGACCAGGAAGTAGAGCTGTGTCAGACACCCTGCATAGGAGATGGCTTTGTTATGGGACTGGAGGTTCACCAGCATCTTGGGGATTGTGTTGGTGACAAAGAAGAGGTCAGTGAAGGAGAGGTTGGCCAGGAAGAAGTACACGGGGGTGTGCAGGCGGGAATCAGAGCTGATGGCCAGGATGATGAGCACATTTCCCACCACCGTGACCAGGTACATGGACAGGAACATCCAAAACAGGATCCGCTGCTGCTCAGGACTCTCTGACATCCCCAGGAGAAGGAACTCTGAACCTTCACTCTGGTTGCCTCCATCCATTTCCCCAACTCTCTTTTAACATTAACACCAGCAAATGTTTACCAAAAGTCCTTAATTGAATAAAAACATGAAGATAAGCAAAATCAACATTTTCTTAGAATTAAGAATGTCTTACACCCAATTTTATAATTTTTGAAAATAAGAAAGTGAAAAATATAACAAAGTTTTTATGCGATATAATTATTTCAGCTACTTCAAAGCTGGGAAACTCAATGTTAAAGGAATAATGTGTAATTCTTATTTTCAATCCTGTCATCTTACACTATTCTTGAAGTGTTTGGTGATTAGTGTGTTATGATATGTATATGTGTTAAAATAATTAATATAGATACATGCAGTATAAGTAGTTCAAAAAAGGAAGAAAATAAAAGTATTTGAAAGGAGTAGGAACAATTATTATTTGTTGATATGATGATCTATCTGAAAAAAGTGGGACTATCCACTGAAAGACTACTAGAAATAGAGTTTAGAATACTTGAAATCAAGTCTTTCCCTGCTAGTAAGATAGTACGCACTGCCACTTACTTGCTGTGAAACCTCAGGTAGGGTTCCAGAGTTCCTTAAGACTCAGTTTCTTCATGCGAATCATGAGTTATAGGGTGGGGGAAAATTAAGTAGTAAAGTGCTTAACACAAGGAGTTGGTAGGCAATTAGCACTCAGAAATGTTGCCTATTATTGTTATATTTAACGAGAATCAGGAAAAATGTTATAATGAAAAACTATCTCATCCCCACTGTCAACAAATAAATCATGGCACTCAGATGTTAACAAGAATCAGGCGAAACCTTCAAATTCTCCAGTGAGGGGTAAAGTAAAAATTAAATAAATTGATAAACATATCAAGGTTTCTAATATGAAGAGAAGTGTCACCAAGCTATATACTCTTTTGAATTAATTGAAAGTTTACTGGATATCAAAATTATAACAGGGTTTTGGAGAAATGAAACTGGTCTAAATTTCATCTAAATATAAGCATGTAGATAAGCTAGAAAAACATTGAATAAAAGAATAACAGGGTGATGCTTGCACATCAAATATTAAGAATTCTAAAGCAATATGATAGTAATGTTGGAATGAACAGATCAGTAGAAACTTCACAGATAGACACAAAAACGTGGAATTTGGCAGATTAATTTGGGTGCACTGTATATTAGCCGGTAAATTCTGCATGGGTACACTCTATATTAGCAAGTAAAGCCTGCATTATTCAAGAAATGGCACATTGAGATAACTGTGTAATTAATTTCGGAGGACTAGTTCGAACAATATTTTGTATCTTATCAAACACATTTAAAACATACTAAAGATTAAAATACTATAGTGTGCCTTTTTTTCCTTCGAAAGCCTAATGTGTATAGAATAAAATGTTTAAAAAATCAAAAAAGAAAAAAGAAACATGTATATGTAAAAATATAAAAAAATGTAGTATATATAAAACAGCTGAATGCGGTCAGGGAAAGAGTAAGATCTCTTCCAATACTACTGACAGTTCTCAGTGACTGTGGGAACTAAGCAAATAGGTAAATACCAATAACCAGCCCCATTAGGGGAGACTAGTACCCTGAATTGTTACAATAAATTATCTAAAATGTCCATATTCCAACAAAATTTATGAACCATGAAAAGAAACAAAGTATGATCCACATATGAGGAAAAAATCAGGCAACAGAAACTACCTGTGAGCACAATGTGATGTCAGCCTTCTTTGAAAAGACCTCAAAGTAGCCATTGAAAATATTTTCACAAAACTAAGAGAAAGCATGATTAGGGAAGTAAAGGAAGGTACAGTGAGAATGTCATGACAAATGGGGAATATCAATAAAAAGAATGGATAAAAGAGAGCCAAATGGAAATCCTGCAGTCAAAATGTACAGTAACTGAAATGAAGATTTTATTAGTCAGGCTGAATAGTAGTATTGAACTAGCAGAAAAAATAGCATTCTTTAAGATAGATTGATATCAAGCTGAAAAATAGAGGAAGAGAAAAAATGAAGAAAAATGAACAGAGACTCAGAAAAGTGTGGAGCACCATTAAGCATACCAGCACACATGGAATGCAAGTGCTGAAGGACAGGAGAGAGAAAAATCAGAAAAAAAATCCAAAGAAAGAATGGCTGAAAACGTAGTAAATTTGTTTAAAAAACTACACATATAGGAAACTCGACAAACTTTAGGCAGAATAAATACAAAGAGATTCACAAATAGACACATCATAGTAAAAAGGCTGAAAGGCAGAGACAAGGAGAAAATCTTGAAATCAGCAAGTAAAAAAGATTTTTTACTTACAAAGGAAGCCTAATAATATGAACAACAGACTTCTCAACAGAGACAAAGGAGGCTCCAAGACAGTTGGATAACATATTCAAAATGGTTGAAGAAAAAACCCATCAAGTAAGAGTCTAATATTCAGCAAAACTATCTTTAAAAGAATGAAGGCCAAATAAAGATTATCTCAGGTGAACAAAAACACAGAAAATTTTTGCTAGCAGACCTATCTTATAAAAACTACTAAAGAAATTTCTTTAGGTTGAAAGTAAGTTACCTCAGATGATAATTTGAATCCACATGCACAAAAAGGAAAGAACAGTGATAAAGTATGAAAATGTGATATTATAAATGTATGTAAATATGTAAATATATATTGATATAATCTATATATCTATGTAATATTTTACATATATCTATTAAGTATGACAGTATAAATTCATATTTTCTTGTTTTTTCTTATAACTTATTTAAACACCATTTATGTAAGATAATATGTATATGATGTATCGTTGAGGCCATAGCATATAGAAATATATGTATAACATGTTTGTCGATTACAGCATAAAGGAGCTGGGTGGAGGCAAAGTTGGACTAAGGAAATGACTACAGAAGGTATAGTAGTAATTATAACAGTGGATTATCAGGATTAATAGATGTTACATCTGTAACAATAATACTACAAAAGGAAGAAAATAATAGAATTATATAGAAATCATTTTCTATATATCATTGGACTTAAGTTGGTATAAATCTGCAGCTGATTCTGATAAGATGTATGTGGTAGACTTTAGAGCAACCACTAAAAATTACCTTCAAAAATAGAGTGAAAAAATTATTAAAGAAATTAAAATGCAACATGAGAAAATATTAACTTAATGGAAAAGGAAGTGGACAAGGAAAATAGAGGAAAAAAGGACATGGGACACATAGAAAACACAAAGTAAAATGGGAGACATAAATCTAACTATATCAATCATAACATTAAGTGTGAATGCATAGAACAATTCAATCAAAAGGCAGAGACTGTCAGAGTGGATAAAAACATGATTCATTTATATGCATTCTACAGAAAACCTACTTGATTCACAGATACAGCAAGGTTGAAAGTAAGAGGATGGGAAAAGATACCATGCAATCAGGAACCACAAGAAAAACGGAATGGCTGTACTTTAGCCTTAAAATATAAAATGGCTTTAAAGATTAAAATAGAGTTTATGCTGACCTGGTGGCCCATGCCTGTTAATCTCATCACTTTGGGAGGCTGAGGTAGGAGAATGGCTTGAGGCCAAGAGTTCAAGACCAGCCTGAGCAACATAGCAAGACCCCATCTCTTAAAGAGAGTTTAAGTCAAAAAGTCTGACTAGAGATAAAGTGAGACATTTTATAATGACAAGTGGGTCAATCTATGAAGAAGATATAACAATTGTAAACATATATGCACCCAAATACGTGAAGGGAACTGATAGAAATGAAGACAGAAATGTGTAATTCAACAACAGTATTTGGAAAATTCAACACACCACTTTCAATAATGGATAGAACAACTAGAAAGATCAACAAGGAAAAAAAGATTTGATCCACACTGTAAATTAACTGCGCCTAACAGATGTCTATGTAACGCTCTGCCCAACAACAAAAGAAGAAAGTTATTTTCAAGTGTCATGGGAACATTCTCTATGATAGACCATATTCTAGGCCATAAAATAAACCCAAATGACATTAAAAGGCTAGAAAAAATACAAAGTATGTTTTCCCACTGCAGTAGAATAAAATTAGCAATGAATAGCAGAAAAAATTGAAAAACATGTTTCATTTCCATATGTTACTTCATTTCCATATTGTGGAGGATAATATACTTCCAAGAAGGTTCTTCCAGGAATTTATCCATGTCTGTTAAATGTTCTAGTTTGTGTGCGTAGAGGTGTTCACAGTAGTCTCGAATGATCTTTTCTATTTCTGTGGTGTCCATTTTACAATGGACTTTAAAAAAACTTGAAAGCATTCCTACTGAGAAATGGAACAAGACAAAGATGCCCACTTTCATTACTTCTATTCAACATAGTACTAGAAGTCCTAGCCAGAGCAATAAGACAAGAGAAAGAAATAAAGGGCATCCAAATTGGAAAAGAGTCAAATTAGTGCTGTTTGCCAATGGTATGATCGTATGCTGAGAAAGCTCTAAATACGAGTCCCCACCCCCAAGCCAAGGGAGGTGGTGAGTGAGCATGCTACCCAGCCAGGGAAATCATGCTTTTTCCATGGAACTCTGCAACCCACAAATCAGAAGATTCCACTGGTGAACCCATGCCACTGGTGCCTAGGGTACCAACCCCAGAGCTGTGCAGATTCTCAACAGCCTCTCAGCTAGAATCTGCTTAAGCCTGCCAAGTTCCTTGAGGGAGAGAAAACTAGCACCATAGCTGCAGCTGCCTGCTGTCTAAGCTGTTTGAGCTCCTTGCAGGAGGGGCAGCACCCAACATTGGGACTGATAACTGCCTAGCACACTAAGCTCCCTGGGTGGGGGAAGGGCGGCAGCCATCTCTATAGCTCCAGCCCACACTTTTCCCCTGCCGGAGCCTGGGAGACTGGTTGACTTGGTCCCAAAATGTGTCCACCACAGCCCAACACACCCCTATGGTCGACTGTGGCCAAAGCACCTCTTCAGGCCTGACCCTGACCCACTCTTCCTCACTGGGTGGGGCCTCAATGCAGGAAGTACAACTTCAGCCAGGGGCTCAGGGACAGTACCCTGATCTCCCTGGGCCTGAGCCCCTAGCAGGAGAGGTGGCCGCAATCTCTGTGGATCAGCAGACTTAGCCTTTCCTCCTGGTAGTTCTGAGGAATCCAGGTAGCCCAGATGAGTGGGTTTCCCCTAGTGAAGCGCACACCCCCTTCACCAAGGGACAAAGTGCTTCGTTAAACGGATCTTTTTCCCTGTGCCACCCAACTGGGTGAGACCCTCCAACAGGGGATGTCAGACACCCTATACAGGAGTGAACCTACTCGTATCACGTTGGTGCCCCTTGAGGTCAGAGATCCCACAAGGAGGAGCAGGCACCCATGATTCCTGTTCTCCACCTCCTTGAGTGATACCTCCAGGCACAGCAGCGAACCAGATGAATAGGGCCTGTAATGAGCCCCCAGGCCTACTAAAGAAGAGGGACCTGAGCATTGAAAGAAAAACAAACAGAAAGCAACAACAGCAGCATCAACAACAGCAAAAAAGTCCTCACAAAAACCCCATCCAAGGGGCGGCAGCCTCAAAGATCCAAACTAGACAAACTCATGAAGATGAGAAACAACAACAACAACAACAACAAATGCTGAAAACACAAAAGGCCAGCGTGCTGCTGCTTCTCCAGATAGTTGCAATACCTCGCCAGCCAGGAAGCAGAACTGGATGGAGGATGAGATGGCTGAATTGACAGAAATAGGCTTCAGAAGATGGGTAATAACAAACTCCTCCGAGCTAAAGGAGCATGTTCTAACCCAATGCAAAGAAGCTAAGAACCTTGATAAAAGGTTACAGGAGCTGCTGACTAGAATAATCAGTTTAGAGACGAACATAAATGACCTGATGGAGCTGAAAAACATAGCATGAGAACTTCATGAAGCATGCACAAGTATCACCAGCTGAACCGACCAAGTGGAAGAAAGGATATCA
Source organism: Homo sapiens (assembly GCF_000001405.40). Classification (NCBI taxonomy): domain Eukaryota; kingdom Metazoa; phylum Chordata; class Mammalia; order Primates; family Hominidae; genus Homo; species Homo sapiens. The sequence continues at coordinate 3,098,930 of NC_000017.11, forward strand.
GAGTTTAAAGACCACCTTGCTGAAATAAGGGATGCAGACAAGATTAGAGAAAAAAGAATGAAAAGAAATGAAGAAAGCCTCCAAGAAATATGGACTACGTAAAAAGACTGAACCTACGACTGATTGGAGTACCTGAAGGAGACAGGGAGAATGGAAACAAGCTGGAAAACACACTTCAGGATATTATCCAGGAGAACTTCCCCAACTAGCAAGACAGGCCAACATGCAAATTCAGAAAATACAGAGAACACCACTAAAATACTCCATGAGAAGATCAACCCCAAGACACATAATCATCAGGTTCTCCAAGGTCAAAGTGAAGGAAAAAATGTTAAGGGCAGCCAGAGAGAAAGGTCAGGTCACCTACAAAGGTGACCATCAGACTAACAGTGGATCTCTCTGCAGAAACCCTACAAGATAGAAGAGAGTGGGGGCCAATATTCAACATTCTGAAAGAAAAAAATTTTCAACCCAGAATTTCATATCCTGCCAAACTAAGCTTCATAAGTGAAGGAGAAATAAAATTGTTTCCAGACAAGCAAATGCTCAGGGATTTCATCACCACCAGGCCTGCTTTACAAGAGTTCCTGAAGGAAGCACTAAATATGGAAAGGAAAAACTGGTACCAGCGACTGCAAACACACACCAAAATATAAAGACCAATGACACTATGAAGAAACTGCATCAACCAGTGTGCAAAATAACCAGCTAGCATCATGACAGGATCACATTCACACATAACAATATTAACTTTAAATGTAAATGGGCTAAATGCCCCAATTAAAAGACACAGGTGGCCAATTTGGATAAAGAGTCAAGACCCATCAGAGTGCTGTATTCAGGAGACCCATCTCACGTACAAAGACACACATAGGCTCAAAATAAAGGGATAGAGGAAAATTTACCAAGCAGATGGAAAGCAAAAAAATAAAAAATAAAGCAGGCGTTGCAATCCTAGTCTCTGACAAAACAGACCTTAAACCAACAAAGATAAAAAAAGGCAAGGGCATTACATAATGGTATAGAGATCAATGCAACAAGAAAAGCTAACTATCCTAAATATATATGCACCCAATACAGGAGCACCCAGATTCGTAAAAGAAGTTCCTAGAGACCTACAAAGACTCATAGACTTTATGTGTCTATGCGTCTTTAAAGTGGGAGACTTTAACACCCCACTGTGAATATTAGATCAATGAGACTGAAAAATAACAAAGATATTCAGGACTTGAACTCAGCTTTGGATCAGGTGGAGCTAATAGACATCTACAGAACTCTCCACCCCCAATCAACAAAATTTGTCTCAGTACCACATGGCACTTATTCTAAACTTGACCACATAATTGGAAGTAAAACGCTCCTCAGCAAATGAAAAAGAACTGAAATAATAACAGTCTCTCAGACCACAGTGCCATCAAATTAGAACTCAGGATTGAGAAACTCATTCAAAACCACACAATTACATGGAAATTGAACAACCTACTCCTGAATAACTTCTCAGTAAATAATGAAATTAAGGCAGATATCAAGAAGTAGTTTGAAACCAATGAGAACAAAGAGACAATGTACCAGAATCTCTGGGACACAGCTAAAGCAGTGTTAAGAGGGAAATTTATAGCACTAAATGCCCACATCAGAAAGCTAGAAAGATCTCAAATCAACACCCTAACATCACTATTAAAAGAGCTAGAGAATCAAGAGCAAGTGAATCCAAAAGCTAGCAGAAGACAATAAGTAAGATCAGAGCAGAACTGAAGGAGATAGAGACACAAAAAAACCCTTCAAAAAATCAATAAATACAAAAGCTGGTTTTTTGAAAAAATTAACAAAATGGATAGACTGCTAGCTAGACTAACGAAGAAGAAAAGAGAGAAGAACCAAATAGACACAATAAAAAGTGATAAAGGGGATATCACCACTTATCCACAGAAACACAAACTACTATCAGAGAATACTATAAATACCCCTACGCAAATAAACTAGAAAATCTAGAAGAAATGAATAAACTCCTGGACATATACACCCTCCCACGGCTAAACCAGGAAGAAGTCAAATCCCTGAATAGACCAATAACAAGTTCTGAAATTGAGGCAGTAATTAATAGCCTACCAACCAAAAAAAGCCCAGGTTCACATGGATTCACAGCCAAATTCTACCAGAAGTACAAAGAGGAGCTGGTACCACTCCTTCTGAAACTATTCCAAACAATTGAAAAGGAGAGACTCCTCCTTAACTCATTTTATGAAGCCAGCATCATCCTGATGCCAAAACCTCACAGAGACATAACAAAAAAAGAAGTCTTCAGGCCAATATCCCTGAAGAACATCAATGCAAAAATCCTCAATAAAATACTGTCAAACCGAATCCAATAGCACATCAAAAAGCTTATCCACCACGATTAAGTTGGCTTCATCCCTGGGATGCAAGTCTGGTTCAACATACATAAATCAATAAACATAATCCATTACATAAAGAAAACCAAAGACAACAACCATACGATTATCTCAATAGAGGCAGAAAAGCATTTTGATAAAATTCAACATCCCTTCATGTTAAAAACTCTCAATAAACTAGGTATTGATGGAACGTATCTCAAAATAAGAGCTATTTATGACAAACCCACAGCCAATATCATATTGAATGAGCAAAAGCTGCAAGCATTCCCTTTGAAAACCGGTACAAGGCAAGGATGCCCTGTCTCACCACTCCTGCTCAACATAGTATTGGAATTTCTGGCCAGGGCAATCAGGCAAGAGAAAGAAATTAAGGGGATTCAAATAGGAAGAGAGGAAGTCGAATTGTCTGTTTGCTGATGACATGATTCTATATTTAGAAAACCCCATCATTTCCACCCCAAAACTTCTTAAGCGATAAGCAACTTCAGCAAAATCTCAGGTTACAAAATCAATGTGCAAAAATTATAAGCATTCCTTTACACCAACAATAGACAAGCAGAGAGCCAAATCATGAATGAACCTCCATTCACAATTGCTACAAAGAGAATGCTCCCAACACAATGAAATGATAAATGTCTGAGGTGATGACTGTCCTAAATATCCTGATTTGATGATTACACTTATATTCATGTATCAAAATATCACATGTACCCCCAAAATATGTACAGTTATTACTGTACATATTAATTATTACTGTACATATTATTGCAATGTTTTGGAAAACCAGCCAGTGTGCCAGGGAAGTATGGAGCCTGTTCTGCAAATTCAATCTGAAACATGGTTAATTTGAAGTCACAGCAGAATAAGCAAATGGAGATGAGGGAACTGTGAGTAATTTCGACTATTAAAGTAATTTGGAGTGCCAGATTTGGGGTGGGGTGAGGGTATATGGCAGTCCTAGCATTCATCAAATGAGTGAATTCCTTACCTCAATGTAGCAAGTTAAACTCCTAGATGTCCACGGTAGGTGGCATAGTGGAAGGAGATTTTGAGTCTGAAGTTTGGGTTCAAACCCCAGCGTAACAAATTCAAGCATTTTTTGAACAAACTGCGATTTCATTAGACACACACATACATACATACCTACGGTGCTATGTATATACATCTTTTATTTACAACGACGTATATCGTTGTAACAACGAGCTATTTGTTTCTGTTATCCTGCTTTATAGATGAGGTGACTGAGATTTAGGTTAATGAGTTTCTCACATTCACTCAATCAGAACTGACACATTGGGATTTGAGCCCCCGTTCTGCCTCCAGATTTCACAATCTAACTATTCTACCATGGGATGGAGGACAGCAATAATGCCCACCTCCCCCGGGGTCAGGAGAAAGAGCTGAAATGCTGTATGTGGAAGCAGCTCTCCAAACTTAAAGCCTAATTGTCCTTGGAAGGGGCCTGTGATGGGGGTGGCAAAGGGACTCCTATTCTTCATTCCTCCAACTTGTATTTCCCACCCCTTTCTAGTAGGGAACCCACTCTCTCAGTACAAAGAGCAACAGGGTTCCCAGTCTTGCCTCTATCCTGGTTCTGCTGCCCTCTCAGACAGGAGCAGCTGGACCCCACTCTGTCTGTCCGGAATGGTCCAGGATGTCAGGGTGGGACTCCTGGTGTCAGGCCTCATGGTGCAACTGCAGGGGAGACAGAAGATGAGGGCACACGGTATTACAGGCTTCCCACATCACAAATGACTTCTTTCTGCAGTCTTGTTCTTACCATTCAGAGCTCTATGGGACATCTGCTGATGGGAGGGAGGGTAGAGGGCAGGTGACAAGACTGAGGAAGGCCAGAGAACTCCCAGGGAAATTGAGAAATTGATCCCTCTGCTTGCTTGCTTCCTTTTTTCTTCTTTCTTTTCCTTTCTTTTTTTTTGAAATGGAGTCTCACTCTGCCCAGGTTGGAGTGCAGTGGCACGATCTCGGCTCACGGCAATCTCCACCTCCCGGGTTCAAGCCATTCTCCTGCCTCAGCCTCCTGAGTATCTGGGATTACAGGCGTGAGCCATTGCATCTGGCCAGATACCTCTGCTTTGTAACCCACAAGGCAAGCATCTCCTGCACTCATGTGCATCACGATCACCTGTGATGCTTCATAACAAAAAGCTGACTTTCTGACTTTCTGACTCTCTCTCTTGAAGTCCTGAAGTCTCTCTTGAAGTCCTGTTTCTGAGAACCAAGTTCTTTTTAGCAAGCATGCAGTAGTTCTGATGCTATACTTTGGGAAACACTGCTCTGAGTTTGTAAGAGTCAGTGGGTTCTGAACACTGATGTGGTCAGATGGTCACAGAGACACAGACCCCTCTGTTGTGTTGCTGGGGTGTGAGGGGGGAGATTGTAGGGGCAATATGGAAAAGGGGTCCAAGCTTGCAGTGGAAACACTGGGCTTTGTACCTCTTCTGTTACTTCCTAGCTGTATGACCTTGAGTAGGGCCCACGACCTGCCTAAATCCCCTCTTCTCACCTAGGTAGTCATTCTCACAGGCTGTGAGAATTACATGCAACAGAGAATGTGAAAGTACCTTGAAAACTGTAGAGTGCTTCTAAGATTCAAGGGATTGTTCTATTACCTTTGAAGACTAAGAGGTGAGATTACATGAGTTCCCAAAGTGTGTGAGTATGTTTGTGTGACAGAGAAAATGGAGAAGAGAGAAGATAAGAGAGAAGATAAGAGAGAAGAGGGAGAAAGAGCATGAGGCTGAGATGTACAGACCTTACCCACTGCTCTGTGCTGCTCTCAGAGTTCACTGGTTCAGCTTCCTCCACGTTCCTGTTCTACAGGATGAAAACACATTCAGGTCATAAAAGACCAGAATGCATTATTTTCTGAATAGGTCTTGGAGACTCATCCTATTGGCTAAAGGTACAGAGCAGAGAACTTGTTGCCTGGGTCTTCAGCTTCTGTAAAAAAGGAGACAGGATTTCAGGCTATTGATGCCCCAATGAGATTTGTGGGATATGAGAACTGAGTCTTGGATCCTAGATTCATGAAGAAACGGGATGAACAGGGAGCACATCAGGTCTGCTTATCCATTTTGGAGAGAACTTGGGGATGCAATCCCCAGATAGCCTCTTGAGATGAACATGGATAATTGCTCCGATGTTATTCTCTAGAGGTGAGGGTCTTGGGAAATGAGTCTTGTTTACAAGAAATAAACCAGCTCCTTATTGTGCAGTAATCCTAAAATATACCCTAGGAAGGCTGGGTGTGGTGGCTCACACCTGAAATCCCAGCATTTGGGAGGCCGAGGCAGGCAGATCACCTGAGGTCAGGAGTTCATGACCATCTTGGCCAACATGGTGAAACCCCCATCTCTACTAAAAATACAAAAATTAGTTGGGCGTGCTGGCACTTACCTGTTGTCCCAGATGCTTGGGAGACTGAGGCAGGAGGATCGCTTCAACCTGGGAGGTGGAGGTTGCAGTGAGCCGAGATGGCACCACTGCACTCCAGCCTGGGCAACAGAGTGAGACTCCATCTGAAAAAAAAAAAAATAAAAGATAAAATACATATAACAGTAAGCCAAAGTAACAGTAAGCCAAAAATAAAGCGGACTCTACATGTATTGCCTGTTGACTTTGAGTAGGGAGAGGTCTGGCAAATTTAAGGTACTAAACTTCAACTAGAATGATTCCAGATGTCTGTGACCCAAAGTACTAAGCAAAAGCAAGAAAGAAATCCTATTTAGAGGAACATAATGTCACCTTAGAGCTGAAATAACAGAATTATTTCTGTTAATAATTTTTCAAGCACAATATCCAACATAAACCCAAAGATAAAAAGACACAAGGAAGATTCCAATAGCAAGAACCAACACAGGGGAGGCATATAGGGACTCTAGATAATATAGTTATTAGACATAGATGGAAAAATAATGATGCTACATTATTTTAGGAAATAAAATGAAGCCTGAAAATTTTATCAGGAATGTTTACAAACAGGCCAGTCATGAGTAACCAGCACTCAGATGAAAAACACATTACTGACCCTCCAGAAATGACCAAATATTCCTTTCTAGTCACTGTTCCTGCACAGGTACTCACTATCCTAACTGCTAATATCATTAAGCTAGCTTTATCTATTTTCTTACTTTATTTAAATGGAAGTATACAGTTTGTACTCTTTTGTGTTGGCGTTTTTCACTCATTGTATATGTCAGATTCATCCACACAGTTGTATGTGGTTGTAGGTTGTTCATGCTCATTGCTGTATGGTGTTCTATTGTGTGAAGAGACCACTAAACACCCATTGTGGGCATTAGTAGTTTCCGGTTTTTGTCCTGAGTCGTGTAGCTACGCATATCTCTTAGGCATATATACTTAAGAGTGGAATTTATAAATCACATGGCAGGCCTATGTATAGTTTTTGTAGCCAGTGCTAAACACTTTTCCAAAGTACTAGACTTGTATCAATTTTCCCTACTGCCAGCAGTGTATGAGAGTTCTAGTTGCTCAATACCTTAACATGATTTGGTATTTTTCATCCTTTTCATTTTAGCTGTTGTGGTGAGTATAGCGGTATCTCGCCATGGTTGAATTTTTTTTTTTTTAAAAAAAGATACATAATAGAGGTACATGTGATAATTTAATATCTTCATAAAATTTGTCAAGATCAAATTGGTGTAATTGGGATATATATCACTTTAAATAGTTGTCTTTTTTTATGCTAGAAACATCTGAATTGTTCCCCTTTTACTATTTTGAAATATACAATAGATGATTGTAAACTATATTCAGTCTTACTGCTTCTATCAAACTGTACTTTTGTACCTATTAATCAACATTTCTTCCTCCCCCTCCCCTCACTCTTCCTGGCCTCTGGTGACCACCAGTCTGCTCGTTTATCATCATGGGATCCACTTTTTAAACTTTCACATGTTGAGTGACAACATATAATATTTGTGTTTCTGTGCTTGACTTATTTCACCGAACATAATGACTTCTAGTTTCATCTATGTTGCTGCAAAGGACAGGATTTCATTTTTTTTTTGGCTGGATAATATTCCACTGCGTATATATGCCATATTTTCTTTCTTCATTCATCCTTTGATGGGCATTTGGGTTGATTCCATATTTTGGCCATTGTGAATAGTGATGCAGTAAACGTGGAAGTGTAGATATCTCCTCGATACATTGATTTCTTTTCTTTTGAATATATGTCCAAGAGTAGAATTGCTGATTTCCATTTACATTTCTCTGATGACTAATGAAGTTAAGCACTTTTCATAGAGTTATTATCCAAAAGTATATTGTCTTTGTAAATCACCTACTCAAGTGTTCTTCTCATTTTTTTCTATTGGGTTATCTGGTTTTTTTTAAATGTTGATTTGTAATTCTTCATATTTTCTGGCTATGAGCCTTTGTCAGATGTTTGTAACAAGACTATCTTACCCACCTTTGTGGGTTGGCTTTTGTTCAATTAATGGTGCCGTTAGAGAAATAGAAGAGTTTTAATGTTTTAATTTATCAATTGTTAAATAATTAGTGCTGTCTATATCTTAAGAAATCTTTGCTAAATTTTTGTCATGTTCTCTATGATTTCATCAGGAAGATTTGCTTTTACCTTTCACATTTAGATCTGTGATCAATGTGGAATTGATATTTATATTTGGTGAGGTAGAGATCAACATACATTTTTCTTCCTGAAGTGTGGATATTCAACGGATCCAGTGCCATTTGGAGAAAAGCCGTCCTTTCCCTGCTCCATCACAGTGGAAATCTTTATCATCAGTCTGGTGACTATATATATGAATCTGTTTCTGGAATCTTAATCTCTTCCATTTGTCAGTTTGCCTATCCTTATATCAATAGTCTACATATTAATTATTATATCTTCTAATAGGATTGCTATATGGTTTGCTTGTTCTTCTTCTTCAGTATTTCCTTTTTTTCTTTTTTTGACACAGCCCAGGCTGGAGTGTAGTGAATGGCGTGATCTTAACTCACTGCAACCTCCACCTCCCGGGTTCAAGCAATTTTCCTGCATAAGCCTCCTGGGTAGCTGGAATTATAGGCATGTGCCAGCATGCCCAGCTAATTTTTGTATTTTTAGTAGAGACGGGGTTTCACTATGTTGGCCAGGCTGGTCTTGAACTCCTGGCCTCAAGTGATCCACCTGCCTCAGCCTCCCAAAGTGCTAGGATTACAGGCATGAGCCACTGCACCTGGCTGGAATTCGTGTCCTTTTAAAAGAGACTCCAGAGAGCTCCCTTGTCCCCTTCTGACATGTAAAGACGCAGCAAAAAGATGGCCATCTGTGAATCAGGAAGTGGGTACTCACCAGACACGGAATCTTCTGGCAAATGGATCTTGAACTTCCCAGCCTCCAGACAGAACTGTGAGAAATAAATTTCTGTTATGTATGTCACTCACTCTATACTATTTTGTTATAGCAGCCTGAATGGATTAAGATATGCTGTTTGAAGGTATTGAGACCCTGTCCTGTTCCTCAACAGCTTTTAGGGTTTTCGTTTATATTTGGTTTCAGTAGTTTTCTCCAATATGCCTATGTTTGGTTTTCTCTCGATTTATACTGCTTGAGATTTGCTGAGCTCCTTCAACCTGTAGTGTTATGTCTTTTATCTGTTTGAAAAATTCTTGGTTAATTATCTTCTCAAATATATGACCCTGTTCCATTCTCTTTCTCCTGTCCTTCTGGGACTCCAGTGATACATAATTAGGCCTTCTGTGCATGTTCCATTTATCTCTTATGGCTGTATCTGGGGTTTCTTCCTTTAATTTTTTTTGCACTTCAGTTTAGGTATTTTATATTGACTTGTCTTCTAGTTTATTGATTCTGTATCTTGCTATGTCCAACTTGTTAAATTCATGCACTGAGTTCTTAATTTCAGATACTGTAGTGTTCACATCCAGAATGTCCATTGTGCTCTTTATGCTATTTGCTAGTAAAATTATTCATCTTTTTATCTATTTCACATACTAATTGTTATCTTAAATTCCTTGTCTGCCACCTCTAAGATCAGAGTCATCTTTCAATCTTTATTTTTTGGTCTTAATTATTAGGCATGTAATTTTGCCTCTTGCCTGTGTGTAGTAATTTTTTTAGTATGTGCTGGGAGTCATGGATACTAGGGTTACAGTGGCTTCAAGTGTTGTTACCTCTACCAGAGATGGTTCTTCTTTTCCTCTTTAATGCAGATACGGTGAGTGGGTTCATCACCTGAATTCAATCAGGAATTGGTTTGGGCTTAGGATTAGGTTGTAACTTTAGGAAGGTTAAGTTTACTTCTGTTCCTAGGTTGTTTCCTTTTTGGGATTTTCATGCATCTTGATGTCCTTAGCCCTGAAAAGTAGTGAGAAATTTTCTTCAGAGGTTTTTAGCTTAGTTCTTTGGACTTTGCCTCCATGCAAATTCAATGTTTGGCAAATATCTTGAGGGAGAGACCAGAGGCGTGTTCGAAAAAGGCCTCTTCTAACAGTGTGTTTGCTTCCTCAGTCCTGAAAGTCGGCAGGAGATTTTTTTCCGTCTTTTAGTAGTGTCTGCCTAGATTTCCAGCATTCTTATCAGAGTCAGCAAATGTCTCATGCGGAGAATAGTACAGGGGTTTGAGGCCCCTCATGCTTCAAAACTGTTATTCTGGTCTTGCGTGAGTGCTACACGCTTTAATGCTTTCATTTCCCCGGCACAGATCCTCTACCTAAGTCTGTGCCCAGATTCAGCAACTACTTTTCCCAAGGGAAAAAATAGCTAGTTGGAGTAACCTCATCTTAGAATGGTCACCCTCTCTCTGAAACTTTAGGTTATGTAGTTTTTGTTGCTTCTGCAACTCTTTGATACCTTTAAATTATGATTTTACCTTTTAAAATTATGATTTTACCTTTTAAAATTCTAATTGTTGCAGGAGGATCATTTTAGCTTGCTAGAACCCACTATATCCTGTGTGCAAGCAGAGGTCTGCCTCTTTTATTTTTGAAGAGACTTGTGTCTCTGGCATTGTGGCTTATGCCTATAATGCCAGCACTATGGGTGGCTGAGGTGGGAGGATCACTTGAGGTCAGGTGTTTGAGACCAGCCTGGCCAACATGGTGAAACCCCGTCTGTACTAAAAATACAAAAATGAGCTGGGCGTGGTGACATGTGCCTGTAGTCTCAGCTACTTGAGAGGCTGAGGCACGAGAGTTGCTTGAATCTGGGAGGCAGAAGTTGAAGTCAGCAGAGATCACACCTTTGCACTACAGCCTGGGTGACCAAGTGAGGCTCTGTCTCAAAAAAATGTCAGGAAATCTTAGTTTGGTTACAACATTTGGTGGACAAAAGAGGGTATAAATCACACTACTTGTACAAGAAGGTATTCTTTGGCAACTATTATCCCTTGATGGCTCCCCCTTATTTACTTCACCAGATGAATTAAAGTTTTATTTTATTCTCATGTTGAAATGAAGATTAGTGAAGAATATTTATAGGTGTCCCTATTTCTCCAGTATGTGTAATTGAGGCCCTGTTTCCACTCCCTTAATGCAGGTTACCATCATCTCTCACTTGAGTTACTGAAATAACCTTGTAAATGATTAATCTGCCTTTCTGATTGATTAATGCTAGTCTAGTCTCCTCACTTCAATCAGATTTACATTTCTACCAATTAAATCTAAGCATCTAATTGCCCTACCTGAAACCAGTCAGAGACTTTCCCCTTGGGATGAAGGTGGTGCTGCTGACTGCATCTCACAAGGCCTTGAGGAGCAGGACATTGCCTGGTTCCCTTTCTCCCCTTCAGTTCTCTGCTTCACACGATACGCGTCCGGACACAGAACGTCCTTTAGTTTCTTGAGTATGCCATGTTGTCTTGACCTCTTGAGTCTTTGCAAATGTGGTTACTTTTCTCAGAACTCCACTTTCTCCCCATTTATCTTTTTACGCCCTCTTAACCCGTAAAGACCCAAGATAAAGTTGTCATATGTGGCTGGGAGAAATTAGGAAGTAATTGTGTAGAGGTAGCAATTGTATTGTGTTTAGAGACTGGGATTAGATTTCAACATTCAGTGATGAGGGATGTGTGGACATAACTCAAAGTGGGTTTTCCTAAATGTAGCAGAGATAAATGATGGGGCCAGATGATTGAATTAGTTGATCAATAAAGAACGTTTCTTTCTTCATTTTTAGGATAACATTTTTGAAGTAATAAGTGGACAATACAGAGCAATTCATTATATTTTGGAAAGCAAATATTTTAGGAATTAAAATAATGAAATATTCAGGCTGGGTGCAGTGGCTTACACCTGTAATCCCAGCACTTTGGGAGGCCGAGGCGGAGGGATCACCTGAGGTCAGGAGTTCAAGACCACCCTGGCCAACATGGTGAAACCCTGTCTCTACTACAAATACAAAAATTAGCAGTGGTGGGCACCTGTAATCCCAGCTACCTGGGAGGCTGAGGCAGGAGAATCACTTGAACCCAGGAGGCGGAGGTTGAAGTGGGTTGAGATCATGCTGCTGCACTCCAGCCTGGGCAACAGAGCCAGACTTCATCTCAAAAACTAAAATAAAATAAAGAAATATTCAGACAAGGAAGAGATCCTGTGGACTGCTGTGGTCTGAGCAGCATTCCTGGTGGGACTTGGGGATGATCTTGCTTCCTCTTCTGCCTGTTCTCCTACCCCAGAATGGGCAGCTATAAAGTACTGCCTGCTCTAGACCTCCTAGGAGATTTGTCCCAGGGGATCATGGGCAATTACTTTGTTTGTTGTTAATAAGTTTCACCAGGGCCTGGGGTCCAATGGGACCTACTGTCTCTAGAACCTGGAAAACATAGACTGGGAGATATGTGAAGGGACGGGGTGGGCTTAGATGATGACGACAGAGGCTGTATCTCCATGTGTCTAACGTGCATAAAAGAGCGAAGGCTCCCAGGTCAAGGCCTCGGGATTCCTTTCAGACATTCCTTGTAAGTTAGGCTGGAAGCTGTGTCCCTCTGGGTCCTTTCGACCTTCGGGTCCTGATTACTAGGGTTCTATGGTGTGACTATGTGGGACTGTTCTTTAGGTACTGTAAAATCCAAATTACTGTTTAACATTCTAGAAATATCTTGATTGCTGTTTACCAGATTCAATTTCTTTATTTAAAATGGTATTCATAAATACAGTTGCCCCATGAACAACACAGGTTTTGAACTGCATAGGTCCACTTAGATTTTCTTCTGCCTCTGCCACCCTGAGTAGCAAGACTAACCCCACCCTGAGTGGCAAGACCAACTCCTTGTCCTCAGCCTCCTCAACATGAAGACAACAGGGATGAGGAGCTTTATGATGATCCATTTCTACTTAATGATTAGTAAATATGTTTTCTCTTCCTTATGATTTTCTTAGTAACATCTTTTCTCTAGCTTACTTTATTGTAAGAATATAACATACTAAATGTGTGTTAATTGACTGTTTATGTTATCTGTAAGGATTCTGGTCAACGGTAGGCTAGTAATAGTTAAGTTTTGGGGCAGTCAAAATGTATTTGTGTATTTTTTTTTTTTTTATTGATCATTCTTGGGTGTTTCTCGCAGAGGGGGATTTGGCAGGGTCATAGGACAATAGTGGAGGGAAGGAGGGAAGGTCAGCAGATAAACAAGTGAACAAAGATCTCTGGTTTTCCTAGGCAGAGTGTTTGTGTCCCTGGGTACTTGAGATTAGGGAGTGGTGATGACTCTTAACGAGCATGCTGCCTTCAAGCATCTGTTTAACAAAGCACATCTTGCACCGCCCTTAATCCATTTAACCCTGAGTGGACACAGCACATGTTTCAGAGAGCACAGGGTTGGGGGTAAGGTCATAGATCAACAGGATCCCAAGGCAGAAGAATTTTTCTTAGTATAGAACAAAATGAAAAGTCTCCCATGTCTACTTCTTTCCACACAGACACAGCAACCATCCGATTTCTCAATCTTTTCCCCACCTTTCCCCCTTTTCTATTCCACAAAACCGCCATTGTCATCATGGCCCGTTCTCAATGAGCTGTTGGGTACACCTCCCAGACGGGGTGGTGGCCGGGCAGAGGGGCTCCTCACTTCCCAGTAGGGGCGGCCGGGCAGAGGCGCCCCTCACCTCCCGGACGGGGCAGCTGGCAGGGCGGGCTGCCCCCCCACCTCCCTCCCGGACGGGGCAGCTGGCCTGGCGGGAGGCTGACCCCCCCCCCACCTCCCTCCTGGACGGGGCGGCTGGCCGGGCAGAGGGGCTCCTCACTTCCCAGTAGGGGCGGCCAGGCAGAGACGCTCCTCACATCCCAGACGGGGCGGCGGGGCAGAGGCGCTCCCCACATCCCAGACGATGGGCGGCCGGGCAGAGACGCTCCTCACTTCCTAGATGGGATGGCGGCCTGGCGGAGACGCTCCTCACTTTCCAGACTGGGCAGCCAGGCAGAGGGGCTCCTCACATCCCAGACGACGGGCGACCAGGCAGAGACGTTCCTCACTTCCTAGACGGGGTGGCGGCCGGGTAGAGGCGCTCCTCACATCCCAGACGGGGCGGCGGGGCAGAGGGGCTCCTCACATCCTAGACGATGGGCGGCCAGGCAGAGACTCTCCTCACTTCCTAGATGTGATGGGCGGCCGGGAAGAGGCGCTCCTCATTTCCTAGATGGGATGGCGGCCGGGCGGAGACGCTCCTCACTTTCCAGACTGGGCAGCCAGGCAGAGGTGCTCCCCACATCCCAGACGATGGGCGGCCGGGAAGAGGCGCTCCTCACTTCCTAGATGGGACGGCGGCCGGGCAGAGACGCTCCTCACTTTCCAGACTGGGCAGCCAGGCAGAGGGGCTCCTCACATCCCAGACGATGGGCGGCCAGGCAGAGACGCTCCTCACTTCCCAGACAGGGTGGCGGCCGGGCAGAGGCTGCACTCTGGGCACTTTGGGAGGCCAAGGCAGGCGGCTGGGAGGTGGAGGTTGTAGCGAGCCGAGATCACGCCACTGCACTCCAGCCTGGGCGCCATTGAGCACTGAGTGAACCAGACTCCGTCTGCAATCTCCGCACCTCGGGAGGCCGAGGCCGGCGGATCACTCGCAGTTAGGAGCTGGAGACCAGCCCGACCAACACAGCGAAACCCGTCTCCACCAAAAAAATACGAAAACCAGTCAGGCGTGGCGGCGCGCGCCTGCAATCCCAGGCACTCCGCAGGCTGAGGCAGGAGAATCAGGCAGGGAGGTTGCAGTGAGCCGAGATGGCAGCAGTACAGTCCAGCTTCGGCTCGGCATGAGAGGGAGACCGTGGAAAGGGGAGACGAGAGGGAGAGGAGGGAGAGGAGGGAGAGGAGGGAGACGTATTTGTGTATTTTTGACTGCACAGGGGTTGGTGCCTTTAATCCCTGTGTTGTTCAAGGGTCAACTGTATTACATAGTGGAGTCACGTAAAGAAGGAATTTTCATAAAAGATTTCAACTTTATCACTGCTTTGTGCCATCAGCAGGGTTAAGTCAGTACTCCTATTTTACAGCTGAAGAAATTAAGATGCAGAGAAATGAAAAGAGCAGGCAAAGCCCACATGCCTCATCTCCTCAGTGGCAGCATTTGTGATATCTGACTGATTTGGGCTCTGTAATCACACATTTTAAAAAGAGATGGTACCAACTTAGTTCCCAGGATGGAAATTCCCAGAGAATCAAAGATAGATTCTTCTCATCAGTAAAACACAGCACCACATCTTTCATTTTTTCTGTACACATTAATCTGGCCGGGTTAAACCCCACGATCCTGTTAAATACCCTGTAGTGAGAGGTCCCTTCTGTATCTTCAGGGTTTGTAGAAGTTCTGAAAACTCCCCAGGACTGCACTGTGAGAGAGGCATCTGGAGGAGACCAGGAGCCAGGTCGGAGAGATTGGAAATGTCCTTAATCCTTTCCCCGTGATTTTTTCTTTTTTTTTTGATACAGAGTCTCACTGTTGTTGCCCAGGCTGGAGTGCAATGGCACGATCTCGGCTCACTGCAACCTCCACCTCCCAGGTATAAGTGATTCTCCTGCCTCAGCCTCCTGAGTAGCTGGGATTACAGGCACCCTCCACCACGCCTGGCTAATTTTTGTATTTTTAGTAGAGATGGGCTTTCATCATATTGGTCAGGCTGGTCTCGAACTCCTGACCTCAGGTGATCCACCGACCTTGGCCTCCCAAATTGCTGGGATTACAAGTGTGAGTCACCGCACCTGGCCTTCCCATCATCTTTAAACTTTCACATCAGTCTCATTTCTGCCCACATCAATATCTTGATATTGGGTAGGCTGAATCACAAGAAAAGAAAATCGTAGCCTTGTCTGGGTAGATTGGCATTAAGCCATGTTACAGGGTAGCTGAGGATGGGGTAATATTTTGGAATGAAGCTGGCAAGCCTACAGTGCAGTTACCTAGAAATCAAAACAAAGGATTTATAAGAAGGAATTCTTGATTTGGAAAGGCCCAGTGGCAGTAGATGTTCTAACCTCCAGTAGTTTTGGTTTCTGTTGAAATAATTCAGTAGTCTCTTAGGTAGCACAAATATATATATACATATTTTGTGGCACACATTGCTGTAGATGTTGGGGTTCATCAGTGAACAAGATAGATATTTTCTCAATTATTAAAGTCTAGCAAAGAGCAAGTCCTCCCAGATTTAATGATCTAAAGGATGAGTTTCCAGGAGAAGAGATGGAATGGGGTTGAGACAGCAAGTTCAAGGCAGTGGTACTGTGATATGTCATGGTGGGTGAGAGCAGATGCTTTTGAGATACTAGGAGAAATCCAGTGTTGTTCCTGGAGTAGAGAGAGAGAGGTAAGCAGGAGAGAATTCACCTGGTAAAACAGGGTCTTATGGTTCATATTAGCTATTTTGGACATTATCTTAACAGAAATGAGAAACTCTTTAATTAGATAGTGACATGAGCAGGTTGAGTTATGAAAAGGATGATTCAGGATAAAGTCAATAGATTTATTTATTTTTATTTTTTGTTTTTATTTTTTTGAGATGGAGTCTCGCTCTGTCACCCAGGCTGGAGTGCAGTGGCAAGATCTCGGCTCACAGCAACCTCTGCCTCCCAGGTTCAAGTGATTCTCCTGCCTCAGCCTCCTGAGTAGCTGGGATTACAGGTGCCCGCCACCACGCCCGGCTAAGTTTTTTGTATTTTTATTAGAGACGGGGTTTCACCATATTGGTCAGGCTGGTCTCGAACTCCTGACCTCAGGCGATCCACTCGCCTCAGCCTCCCAAAGTGCTGGGATTGCAGGCATGAGCCACCACGCCCGGCCTCAAGTCAATAGATTTAAAGAGAGCAAAAATATATGTTTGGAGACCATGTCTGCCTCAGTGGTGCAGGTGAGAAAAGTAGCTGACCTGAAAGGTGGCTGTGGGGTGCAAACTATGAGCACAAGGAGGGATGTTTAGAAGGTGGAATTGATAAGATGTGGTAATTGAATGAGGGAACTGAAGGGTAGGCAAGAGTCAAGGATGACTGTCAGGTTTCTGGCTTGGGGACCATGTAGATGGCATAGGCAGCAAGAGAATACTGGAGTGGAACACACGTGGGTCAGGGAAGACAGCAGACTTAGTATCAGAAAGATGAAGCTTGTGGTGGCCATGAAACATGCAAATAAGATGGTCATCAGGGAGCTGAACATCCAGGTCTGTAGCTCAGAGGAATGGTGTGGGTTGAAGAAGTACATTTGGGACTCACTGGCATATTTGGGAAATGTGTAAGGACAGTACTCTGAGAAGCACCAATATTCAAAGATAATGGAACAGGAGCAGTTGTCTGAGAAGAGTGTGAAGTATTGCAAGGTAGGGAGGGAGAGCGTCACCTGGCCAAGTGAGGGGAGGGTATCATGGAGTAGGAAGTGATCATTAGTGTTAAATGTGATAGGTCATTGGATTTAGAGATGGGGATTTAGAGTCATCAGTGGCTTCGACTGGGAAATTTCAATAGATGATGGGGTTCAGAGGCCAGTCTGCTACCTGTGCCTACATTCTCATTCATGGTCTCTTTGCAAATAGGCCACACATTATAGAGATATGTTTATTGGTTACCTGTAGGTGTTAAGGTGCATTATATTCTTCTTAAGGATAATAGAGTCACAGAATGATGAAGAAGAACCAAACCATGATCTCAGAGTTCCTGCTCCTGGGCCTTCCATCCAACCTGAGCAGCAGAATCTGTTCTATGCCTTGTTCTTGGCCGTGTATCTTACCACCCTCCTGGGGAACCTCCTCGTCATTGTCCTCATTCGACTGGACTCCCACCTCCACATGCCTATGTATTTGTGTCTCAGCAACTTGTCCTTCTCTGACCTCTGCTTTTCCTCGGTCACAATGCCCAAATTGCTGCAGAACATGCAGAGCCAAAACCCATCCATCCCCTTTGCGGACTGCCTGGCTCAGATGTACTTTCATCTGTTTTATGGAGTTCTGGAGAGCTTCCTCCTTGTGGTCATGGCTTATCACTGCTATGTGGCTATTTGCTTTCCTCTGCACTACACCACTATCATGAGCCCCAAGTGTTGCCTTGGTCTGCTGACACTCTCCTGGCTGTTGACCACTGCCCATGCCACGTTGCACACCTTGCTTATGGCCAGGCTGTCCTTTTGTGCTGAGAATGTGATTCCTCACTTTTTCTGTGATACATCTACCTTGTTGAAGCTGGCCTGCTCCAACACGCAAGTCAATGGGTGGGTGATGTTTTTCATGGGCGGGCTCATCCTTGTCATCCCATTCCTACTCCTCATCATGTCCTGTGCAAGAATCGTCTCCACCATCCTCAGGGTCCCTTCCACTGGGGGCATCCAGAAGGCTTTCTCCACCTGTGGCCCCCACCTCTCTGTGGTGTCTCTCTTCTATGGGACAATTATTGGTCTCTACTTGTGCCCATTGACGAATCATAACACTGTGAAGGACACTGTCATGGCTGTGATGTACACTGGGGTGACCCACATGCTGAACCCCTTCATCTACAGCCTGAGGAACAGAGACATGAGGGGGAACCCTGGGCAGAGTCTTCAGCACAAAGAAAATTTTTTTGTCTTTAAAATAGTAATAGTTGGCATTTTACCGTTATTGAATTTAGTAGGTGTAGTAAAGTTGATAATGAAATATCACTCTAAATCAGTGGCTTAAAGATTTTTTAAGACCACTAAACCTTTAGTTTAAACAAAACTCTATGCTAAAGGCTAACAGGAAAAATATGACAACAGACCTGTGTTTGGAGTGAAGTTGGGGGCAGGAAGCCAGGTGCTAAGTATGCTTCTTCCTTCCTTCCCAGGTGGAAATGAAGCTTGAAAATAAACGTTAAATATCTTTGTGCCAACACCTATTATCCATATTAGTTGGGAATTAACTTTTTTTTTCTTTTTTTGAGACAGAGTCTCGCTCTGTCCCCCAGGCTGGAGTACAGTGGCATGATCTCGGCCCACTGCAACCTCCACTTCAGGGTTCAAACAATTTTCCCACCTCAGCCGCCTAAGGAGCTGGAGTACAGGTGCATGCCATCACACCTGGCTTATTTTTGTATTTTTGTAGAGACGGGGTTTCACATGTTGGCCAGGCTGGTCTCAAACCCCTGACCTCAAGGGATCCACCCACCTTGGCCTCCCAAAGTGCTAGGATTACAGGTGTGAGCCACCACGCCAGGCCTTGGGAGTTAACTTCTTAAATATCACTGTAATCTTTGTGTTCATCCTGCTCAAGAATTTTCAATGACATTCTCAAATGGAGAAAAGAAAAACCCCAACATTTTCTGTCTTAGGGAGCACATGTACTCCTAGAGTTCTGTGCTTCCAATACCTTACTCTTTGCTGTTGAATAAAAGCATTTATTTCCTTCTCTGCATACATATCCTCACATCATTCTATCCTTTAATTTTTATGTAATTTTCCAGACCTCGCAGAACAACCTGTCTGTAAAAGAGCTAATAAATAGTAAACCCTTATTGGGTGGTTTTCTCTGTGTAAGGCACTTTCACAACCTACTCACATACCAACACTATGAAGTTGGTCCCATGATTATCCCAATTTTATGAATAAAGAGACAGAGGCTGGGCATGGTGGCTTACGCCTGTAATCCCAGCACTTTGGGAGGCTGCAGTGGGTGGGTCACCTGAGGTCAGGAGTTCAAGACAAGCCTGGCCAACATAGCGAAATCCCGTCTCTACTAAAAATACAAAAATTAGCTGGGCATGGTGGCACGCACCTGTAATCCCAGCTACTTGGGAGGCTGAGGCAGGAGAATCGCTTGAACCTGGGAGACAGAGGTTACAGTGAGCCAAGATCGTGCCACTGCACTCCAACATGGGCAACAGAGTGAGACTTTGTCTCAAAAATAATAATAATAATAATAATAATAATAATAATAATTAATTTGCCGTCCAATATCACACAAAACGTCAGTGATATAGTTAAGATTTGAACCCAGGGAGTTTACGTTTAGAGATCATGACTATACTGTGTCTTGGGGCTATAGAGTCCTACTCCTGTTTCATTCGGTTCCAATCACTTCTCATTTAATCATGACCATTTCCTTCATATCTTCCTCATAGTTCTCATTGTGAGCTTGAATTATGATTTTCTTCAGATACAACCAGAAAGTGGAGAGCAGAGTTTGTAAAACCACGTTTTCATGGGGCCAAGCAGGTCACATAGATCATTGTAAAGCCGGCCAGATTTGAGAAAAATCAGTTGCAGAAACATGATCAAAAATTGTTATTTTATTAATATGTGGATTATGCCTCTATCATAACACAAACATATATGCTATTGGAGATGATATTTCAAACTTGATATTGAACAAAGTCTAATTAAAAAATAATCACTATATATTTGTAGTTTGTCATTCTTTCATTGGGAACAAAATGTTTTTCTTCTGCACTTTGATGCCAATATGAAGTCCTTTGTTTCTTCACAGATTGGTAGAGAACTGAGGCTTGTGTCCACTAAGTAGGAGGGATATTTAGATCTCTTTTGTTTAATAATAGATGAGTTGTTGAATGCACTGTGAACATGGATCAAATCTTTGCAATAACATTGTTATATTTATTTATTTTTTTATTTATATATTATATATATATTTATACTTTAAGTTCTAGGGTACATGTGCACAATGTGCAGGTTTGTTACATATGTATACATGTGCCATGTTGGTGTGCTGCACCCATTAACTCGTCATTTACATTAGGTGTATCTCCTAATGCTATCCCTCCCCCCACCCCACAACAGGCGCCGGTGTGTGATGTTCCCCTTCCTGTGTCCATGTGTTCTCATTGTTCAATTCCCACCTATGAGTGACAACATGCGGTGTTTGGTTTTTTGTCTTTGTGATAGTTTGCTGAGAATGATGGTTATATTTAATTTAAATATTACAAGTTTAAAATTTTATATTATACATTTCTTTTTTTTTGAGAAGGAGTTTCGCTCTTTGTTGCCCAGGCTGGGGTGCAGTGGCGTGATCTTGGCTCACTGCAACTTCTGCCTCCCGGGTTCAAGGGATTCTCCTGCCTCAGCCTCCTGAATAGCTGGGATTACAGGCACCCGCCACCACGCCCATCTAATTTTTGTATTTTTAGTAGGGACAGGGTTTCACCATGTTGGCCAGGCTGGTCTCAAACTCCTGACCTCAGGTGATCCACCTGCCTCAGCCTCCCAAAGTGCCGGGATTACAGGTGTGAGCCACTGTGCCTGGCCTACTTACACATTTTCATACAGATAGGTTAATGTAACATGTTTGAAATGTTATTCTGATTCTTTATACTGGCAACTGAATGAACTTTGAATGCTACATATGGAAATATTTTTATTTTTGTAAAAATTTATAATAAAAACAAGAAATATTCCTTATTTAATTTCAGTAAAAATTTTATATTAATTTTATTCTGCTTTCAATACATAATTTTTGCCAATTTAGAAAAAGCATTTGAAAAATAATTTTAGGTTTGCAATTTTTTCCATTTACTTTTATATTTTAAATGAAATTACATAAACATAATTATATTTAGCTTTTTAATGTTTAATCTTTAAAAAATTTCATTGTGTAACTTTTAAAAAAAATTTAAGTCCTGGGATACATGTGCAGAACCTGCAGATTTGTTACATAAGTATACATGTGCTATGGTGGTTTGCTCCACCTATCAACCCATCATCTAGGTTTTAATTATTAGTATTATTTCCTGGAGAAGCTTTACAGTATGATTCAATCCTGTTTGTCTATTTTTGCTTTTGTTGCCTGTGCCTTAGAGGACATATTAAAAAAATCATTGCCCAGACGAAAATAATGGAGATTTTCCCCTATGTTTTCTTCTAGTAGTTTTACAGTTTTAGGTCTTATATTGAAGACTTTAATCAATTTTGTGTTGATTTTTGTTTATAGTTAAACTAAGGGTCGAATTTCATTCTTCTGCATGTTAGATACCCAGTTTCCTCAGCATCATTTATTGAATAGACCATCTTTTCCCATAGTGTGTTCTTGACACCATTGTAAAAAATCAGTTAGCCATAAATGTATGAGTTTATATCTGCACTTTCTATCCTGTTCCATTGGTTGATGTGCTCATTTTTATGCCTGTACCATGCTGTTCTGATAATTGTTTTATTATATATTTTGAAATCAGAGAGTGTGATGCCTCCAAGCTTTGTTCTTTTTGCTCAATATTGTTTTGGTTATTTGGGGTCTTTTGTAGTTCCATATGAATTTTAGAATTATTTTCTATTGTGAAAAATGACATTGTAGTTTTGATAAGGATTGCATGAAATCTGTAGATCAATTTGGGCATTTCATAATAATTCTAATCCAAGAACACAGAATATCTATTTATTTGTGTTTTCTTCAATTTCATTCAACAGTATCTAGTAGTTTTCGTCATACAGGTCTTTAGTTAAATTTATGCCTAAATATTTTATTTATTTTTGTTGCTTTTATTTTGTTTATATCTGTTGTAAATCAGATCACTTTCTTAATTTCATTGTCATATTATTATTCGTGTATGGAAACATTACTGATTTTTGTATGTTAATTTTGAATCCTGCAAGTTTATTGAATTTCTTTATCAGTTATAATAGTTTTCTGGTGGAGTCTTTAGGGTCATCTATATATAAGATCACGTTGTCAGCAAATAGAAACAATTTTACTTCTTTTCATATTAGGATGCCTTTTCTTTCTTTCTCTTGCCTAATTGCTCTGGATAGAATTTCCAGTACTGCGTTGAAAAGAAGTGTTGAGGGTGGGCATCCTTGTTTTGTCCCTGATCTTAGAGGAAAAGCTTTCAACTTTTCACTGTTGAATATGATGTTAGCTGTGGGTTTGACACAGACAGTCATCCCTCAGTTTACTTGGGGAATTGATTCCACGACCCCCTGCACATCCCCAAACCTATGGATGCTCAAGTCCTGCAGTTTGTCTGTGGAACCTGTGGATACAAAAAGCCAGCCCTTTTTATTTGTGGGTTCCATATCCCACAGATACTGTATTTTTGACCCATGGTTGGTTGAATCCATGAATATGGAATCTGCAAATATGGAGGGGTGATTATCGCTTCTATTGTGTTGAGGTACATTCCCTCTATACCTAAAGTTTTGAGAAGTTTTTTTTTTAACCACAAAAGGGTGTTGAGTTTTGTCAAATGACTTTTCTTAAGATTATATGGTTTTTGACCCTCATTCTGTTAATGCTTATCTCACTTATTGATTTGCATATGTTGAGCCATCCTTGCTACTCAGGGGTAAATCCTACTTGATCAAGGTGAATAGTTTTTTAATGTGTTGTTTAATTTGGTTTACTGGTATTAGGTTGAGAATTTTTGAATCTACGTTCATCTGAGATATTGGCTTGTATTTTCTTTTCTTGTATTGTCCTTGTCTGGTTTTGGAGCAGGGTAATGCTGGCTTGGTAAAATAAGTTTTAAAGCATTGCCTCCACTTTGATTTTTTGGAAGAGTTTGAGAAGGATTGGTATTAGTTCTTGAAATGTTTGGTAGAATTCAGTGGTGTCGCCATCGAGTCCTGGGCTTCTTTTTGATGGGAGACTTTTTATTACTGACTCAATCTCCTTACTTGTTATTGGTCTTGTTCAGAATTTGTTTCTTCATGATACATTATTCAGTCTTGGTAGGTTGTGTGTGTCTAGAAATTTGTCCACTTCTAGATTATCCATTTTGTTTGTGTATAATTTTTCATACTAGTTTCTTATGATCCTTTGTATTTCTGTGGTATCATTTGTAATGTCTCCACTTTCATTTCTCATTTTATTTGAGTCTTCTTTCTTTTTTCCTAGTTAGTCTAGGAAACGCTTTGTTGGCTTTGTTTACTCAGTAAAACAACTTTTAGTTTCATTGTTTTTCATTGTTTCTCGTCTCTATTTTATTTCTGCTCTGATCTTTATTTCCTCTCTTTGGCTAACTTGAGCTTAGTCTGCTAGATTATTTGAGTTTTGTTAATTGATATAAACATTTGTTACTATACAATTCCTGCTTATACGATGCAGAAAAGTACTCATAAGTTTTTGTATGTTGTAGTCTCATTTTCATTTGTCTCTATTTCCTTTTTGACTTCTTCAGTGACCCATTGGTTTTTTAGGAGTATGTTATTCAGTTTCTACATATTTGTGAATTTTTTAGGATTTCTCCTGTTACTGATTTCTGGTTTCATACTATTGTGATCAGAAAAGATACCTGATTGACTTCAATAGTCTTAATTTTGTTAAGACTTTTTTGTAGTCTAACATACAAGATAATCTATCTTGGAGAATGGTCTGTGTGCACTTGAGAAGTACATGGATTCCGTCGATGTTGGATTAAATGTTCTGTACATGTTTGTTAGGTGCATTTGGTTTAAAGTGTAATTAAAGTCCAGTGTTTCCTTATTGATTTTCTTTCTAGATGATCTTTTACATTTTCATAGCAATTTGGCAAATTAAGGAAATTAAAGAAAATTAGCTTTAAAACTATCTGTAATTATTGCTGGATATATTTTTAAAGAAGGTAGGCTAGGAGAGTAAATCACACAAAAATATGCTTATAAAAATCATATTTATATATTCAAAAATTTGATTTAATCCATAAACTTGACAGTAGAGTAATCTTTGATCAAACTATGGTGTAAGAGTGTCTAGGCATGGTGGCTCACGCCTATAATCCCGGCACTTTGGGAGGCCAAGACAGGTGTATAACCTGAGGTCAAGAGTACCAAGACCAGCCTGTCCAACATGGTGAAACCCCATCTCTACTAAAAATACAACAACAACAAAAATTTAGCCGGGCGTCATGGTGTGCACTTATAGTATCAGCTATTCGGGAGGCTGAGACATGAGAATTGCTTGAACCCAGGAGGTGGAGGTTGCAGTGAGCCAGCATCATGCCACCGCACCCCAGCCTGGGTGACAGAGTGAGACTGTCTCAAAAAAAAAAAAAGTATATAGGCACACCTCAAATACTATATGACAAACATGTAAACTGTGTTGTTACATGGACATTCTTGTACAAAAAATACATATAAAAGAGTAACAAATAATTTAAGTTAAAAAGGTAGAACTAAAAGTATGGATGCATGTTAATTTAAACAGTGAAAGGTGCATGTCTGTCAATGAATTAGGAGAGAATATGGGATGATGTAAAAACTTTTGTATTTTAAATTAAGTAGGCAGAGTTTTACTGTTAAGTACCTAGTATGCATTATTTGAAAGGTAGGTTGCAATCTTTCTTGCAAATGAATCTCTGTAGGTAGGTAATTCCTCATTAAATGCCACAATGTCCCCAAAAGTGTAATTTCAGCAGTGTCCCTTCCCGGTTCACAGTGCGGGCAATAAGTCATTCCTTATTCGCAGTTCCGAGGAGTGGATTCACTTTATCTGCCACTGCTCAGCTTTCATTTTAAGAAGGGCTAATGCAGGACAGTTCTCTGGGTGGCCTTGAATGAACCAGGTTTCCCCCTTTTCTTGCTTATAGTTTTCCAGAATAACTGTAGAATGTGACATCCTGAGATAGGGAAGAGCTGGATGCAACAGCCCAGGTTCTGATCCACTTGCCCTAGAAATAGGATGTTATAGAAAACCAAACACCACATGTTCTCACTCATAAGTGGAAGTTGAACAATGAGAACACATTGGCACAGGGAGGGGAACATCACACACCGGGACTTGTCGTGGGGGATAGGGGGCAAGGGGAGGGAGAGCATTAGGACAAATACCTAATGCATGCGGGGGTTAAAACCTAGATGACAGGTTGATAGGTGCAGCAAACCACCATGGCACGTGTGTACCTATGTAACAAACCTGCACGTCCTGCACTTGTATCCCAGAACTTAAAGCAAAAGCAAAAAAAAAAAAATAATAAAAAAATAAAAAAGAAATGTTCTTCAGCCGTTTAGCCAAGTGGATCCTGTGACCCCCAGGGTGTAAGGCCCAAGGTGGGCTGCCTTATAGGGTCTCTCAGCTGTAGTGTAAGTGGAGTACCTGCATGTGAGACTCATTCCCCCTGTGCAGCTTTTCTGAGCCTTGGGGGACCAGCTCGAGGTGAATCCTAGGCGTCTGTTGTTCCTTGCTGCCTATCTGTGAATAATAAACGTGCTTGATGTCACTTGTTGTCTGTGTGGGTGTTCTGTTTCACTCGACTCGGACAAGTTGGTAACCGGTGCACAGTGAACCTGCTTCAGAGCTTCTACCTCAATGGCTGACACCGATTGAAAATACACTACGTACTAGGAGTTAACCCTGTATGTGTATTTATGCACATTTCATTTAATTATCACAGAGAATGCTTTACATATATTATCATATTTAAACTTACAACACAATGAGGTAGGCTTTTTCTTTTTTTTTTTTTTTTCCAAACATTAAATAATTTCCTAGGATCACACAGCTTAAACGTGGCAAAGCCGGGGTTTGAACTTGATTCCACAGCGTCCACGCTGCTTACCACTTTGCTCTACTACCTTTTATTATCAGACGATCGTGTCTGGGCTTCAGATAAGGTGAATAGGGAGCTGGTGAGCTAGAATTGCTATTATCTACAGCAATTACCATCTATGGCACAGCAGCCTGCAGTCAGATACCTGAAGGTAAACAGACAACAAGAATGAAAAACAGCACCCAGTTGTGACATTTTATTTTCCTATAGAAACGTATTGGTTGTGGCTGTAACGTACTGTACAGAGTCTTGCCACAACGTCTACTGACAAAGCTTTCCAAGTCGTTTTTGGCAACCATGCACAATAATCAATGTATTCTGAAACCGTTGGCCTGAGTTGACCTTGGGAGAAATACGGAAGAGTGTGGTTAACTGTGGACATCAGTTATGAACTGGTGGCACTGGGCTCGCATGCTACGGTAAACAGCTGGAAGTTGATTCTGCAGGCAGTTTCAAGCCACTGGACATTTCTCTTAGTGATATAATGGTACCCTATGAAGATTAATCTGATTATGGTGTACAGAGTTGATGGAAGGCGGGTAGACTGAGGACTGAAGACCAACTAGGAGGAGGCTTTAATCATTCAGGCAGGAGAGCATAAAGTGTCCATAAAAATCATTCTTTTCCCCTAACTTTAAGTTGTAACCATTTCAGTGGGATTCAGCACCTATCAATGGTACCAGGCATTACGCCATGTGGTAAGCATTGGGGCTGCAGAGATGAAATGAGTGTGGAAAAAATTGCCCTGAAGAGGAACCTGAGGTTTTCACATGAAGTCTAAGGTGGCAGGAGGATTATGGGTCTTGGAGGCCTGGTAAGACACTGCAGTGAGTCTGTCTGAAGATGCCATCTCCATCAAGCCCTTCCTAGACCCAGTTCCTCATCACTGAGCATGGGAGCATCACAGATACGGGCAGTGCCTGTGGCAGAAACACTGTGGGTGGGGATCCGAGTGATCAGGATCACAGTGATGCTGGGGGAAGGTCGTCCTTCCCTGAATTTTATTCTTGGCCCTATACAACAGCCCAGCCAGATATTCCCTTATTTCAGTCATGAGCTGTCCCATGTTGTTTAAAAAGCATTAACTAATAACATTATTAAATCATCAATATTATTAACTATAGTAAATATAATAAGGCATGACATTATATTATACATCTGGATGGCTGTGGTTTTAGAACATAATTGTAAGAACTTCACCTGTGACATTGGCCTGATGATGGGTTATGATGCAGTCCTGTAGCTTAGACATGAATATTTCAGGTTCAGATCGTAGGTACTGGAACAGAGGTCTCTAGATTCTCTCCATCTTTCATTCTTCACTGCTTACTGTGGTGAACGCAGGTGCATGGAGACCCCCATATTGGATGTCAAGTCACTACCACTAAGGGGAATGAATTTTCCGAACCCAGATTAACTTTCTCAGGGAAGACTTTATTTCTTGGTTCCTCAAACTGTAGATAAAGGGATTCAACATTGGAGTTACCACTGTGTACATCACTGATGCAACTGTGTCCTTCTGGGCCGAGTGGGTTGAGGGAGAACTGAAATCAACACAAAAAGAAGTCCCAAAGAAGAGAGAGACCACGGAGAGATGAGAGCTGCAGGTGGAAAAGGCTTTCCGCTTCCCCTGAGCTGATGGGATCTTCAGGATGGTCGAGAAAACGTTCGTGTAAGAGATAATCAGGCAAAGCACACAAATGAGTCCTGTGAGACCCCCAGTGATGAAGATCACCAGCTCATTGGTGAAGGGGTCTGTGCAGGACAGACTCAGGAGGGGATTGATGTCACAGAAGAAGTGTGGGATCTCATGGTTTGCGCAGAAGGACAGGCTGTTCATCAGAAGTGTGTGTAGAAGGGAGTGGAGGGCATTCATGATCCAGGATGCAGACACGAGGAAGATGCAGAGCCCAGGGCTCATGATCAGAATGTAATGAAGTGGGTGGCATATGGCCACGTAGCAGTCATAGGCCATGACCGCCAAGAGGAATGCCTCCAGCATCACAAATAACATGAAAAAATACAACTGTAGTAGACACCCTGAGTAGGAGATGGCCTGACTCTGGATCTGTATGTTTGCCAGCATCTTAGGGACTGTGGTGGACACAAAGCAGGCATCTGCAAGGGAGAGGTTGGCTAGAAAGAAGTACATGGGGGTATGGAGTTGAGTGTCAGTAATGATGACTAGAATGATGAGGAGGTTGCCTGCCACCGTGACCAAGTACATGAACAGGAAGGACCCAAAGAGGGGCTTCTGCTCCTCCAGCTGCTCAGAGAACCCCAGGAGGAAACATTCTGAGATGCTGGTCAGATTTTTCCCCTCCATTTGTCTGTAGGAAGAAAGTTGGGTTAATTGGGTGACGTTGGTAAGCCCTGGATTGTGAACTCTGAAAATTATGCAATATTCCAGTGTTGATCTTCTAGTGTGAGGTTGGATCATAGGAAATCTCCACTATTTGACTCTTTGGGACCTGCAAAAATGGCCATTTCATAGGGTTCGACTAAATATTTGCAAATTCCTGTGCTTGGTGCTATGAGAAACCACAGATTTGTTTGTAATGCAATGAGAGGCTTTTAAATTTATTCCATAAGCATTAAGCCAATATGTGTATTTTGGGGCTGGGCTGGAGGGGCTTGCTGGCTTTGCTCTGGTAGTGTTCATGTAGAAACTATGACATTTATACAACCCAAGATTTTACAGGTCAAATGAGCCCATTGTACCAATAATTAAAAAGACAGCTCCTGGAAAGGGGTTTTGGAATTGGGAAAAGCATGGCTAACATGGAAATCATTATCACTGTTATCTACACAGCGGGTCTGGCCAGAAACCTGAGCGTCATTATTGACCCACGTTTCTCCCTCCCTGCCTACATCCAACCACCACCAAAGCCTGGCAATTTTACCTTCTCAATATGGCTACAATTTACTGACGTCTCTCTGTTTACTGGTCACCATCAGTCCCAGCTGCAGCTCATGTCATTCAGGGCACTGTGATTTCTCACTTGGATTTGGGCAGTTGATCTCCATGCCCCCAGGTATGCCCACCTGCCACCTGCTGTTCTAAATACACAGAGAATAGGCTTGCTAAAAATCAAATTCGACTCTTGTCTTTCTGCTTGAAAAATCCTTCATACACTCCTCATTACTCCCAGGATAAACTCTAAACTGAACACGGCTGAATGTCCTGGATCTTACCGTCATTTATTACAGACATCCCCAGTTCCTCATGAAACTCCCTCCTCCACTCCACACTTTATGCACTAATCATAGTTTCAATTATTTTAAAGGCCCAGATACTCCCTCACCTTTAGGCTTTCTCAGGCTGAAATAGTTTTTCCCATCCCATTTATCAGACGAGCTAAGCTTCAGGTCTCACCTTAGATGTCACCTCTTCTGGGAAGTCTTTCCCAACTCATCCTCTCACCAGAAACTCAGGTTCGTGACCTTCCTAATGCAGTGCCTCCCCCATCACAGCACGTGTCACCTTGGATTCTGAGTGTCTGTTTATATGAGTGTCCCTCATTCTGCTGTGAGCATCACTGGGAGTAGGCAGAGATGGTGCCTAATTGGCTCAGCTTTGAAATCTAGCATTAGCCTTGAGGCTGGTACAACACAGATGCTCAGTATGAATCTATCATGTAAATACATAAACCCCAGAGAATGGAAAGAGTGGGAAGAATGGAAAGGGGCTTTGCTATAGAGGTAATATCAGGCATAAGAATTAGCCTGAACCTTTATTATTATTGTTATGATTTTTGAGATGGAGTCTCACTCTGTCACCCAGGCTGGAGTGCAGTAGCACGAACTCAGCTCACTGCAGTCTCCACCTGCTGGGCTCAAGTGATTCCCTTGTCTCAGCCTCCTGAGTAGCTGGGATTACAGGCCACTGCTACCACACCTGGCTATTTTTTTTTTTTTTTTTTTTGTATTTTTAGTAGAGATGGGGTTTCATCACATTGGCCAGGCTGGACTTGAACTCCTGACCTCAGGTGACCCACCTGCCTCGGCCTCCCAAAGTGCTGGGATTACAGGCATGAGCCACCACACCCAGCCAACCTTTTTGTTAGTAGGTTCAGTGGTAGCTTTGAGTTAATGGAGTCCTGGCCATAGGAATATGTAGGGAAACACTACGGTTACAGAGAGATAAGTGTTCCAAACAAATGCATTCTTTCTAGGTGAAATTCTTGGGATGGAACAGTGTTTCAGCTGAGTGATTAACCCACGGAATCAGTTTCCCTGTGCCGCTTTTTTTTACCTTCAGAGTTTAATATAACCTATGGATTTGTAAGCCTTAGTTACGTACACTAAAATTACTACTTACTAGGCAATAGTGGCATCTTATGTCTTATTCTCTCTCTGACCATGGATATTTCTTATTTATTTATTTTTGAGACGGAGTCTCACTCTGTCACCCAGGCTGGAGTGCCGTGGCAGAATCTTGGCTCACTGCAACCTCTGCCTCCTGGGTTCAAGCAATTCTGCTGCTTCAGCCTCCCAAGTAGCTGGGACTACAGGCACACGCCACCACACCCGGCTATTTTTTTTTTTTTTGTATTTTTAGTAAAGATGGGGTTTCTCCTCATTGGCCAGGCTAGTTTCAAACTCCTGACCTCAGGTGATCTGCCCACCTTGGCCTCCCAAAGTGCTGGGATTACAGGCGTGAGTCACCGTGCCTGGCCTGAACATGGCTATGTCTTACCGAACTATCTTCTGCTAGTATGTGGATGCCCCAGGGACTGTGGTATATGTTACTTCTCTCCTCAATACAATTCATCAAAGGAAAAAACAGAAAACCCAGAAGCAGAGCACAGTATTCCTCAGACTTTGCTTTACTAACAGTGGCACTGCCAATCAAAAGGAAGAAGAGATTGAACGAACAATGCTGGGACAAGCTGGTTAAGTCTCTGGAAAATTAATTTAAATTCCAACCTAATAGCACTTACCTGAATAAGTTTCAGATGGTTAAAGCATTTTCCCTGCAGATGTAACTCTAAAGCAACCAGGAGAAAATGCAGCACAATATTTACTCTCAGGACAAGGGTGGACTTTCTAAGTAAAAAACAGTGAAGAAAACAAGAAAGGAAAGGAATAATTGGTTTGATCAAATTAAATTAAAAATACACCATGGAATACTATGCAGCCATAAAAATGATGAGTTCATGTCCTTTGTAGGGACATGGATGAAATTGGAAATCATCATTCTCAGTAAACTATTGCAAGGACAAAAAACCAAACACCGCATGTTCTCACTCATAGATGGGAATTGAACAATGAGAACACATGGACACAGGAAGGGGAACATCACACTCTGGGGACTGTTGTGGGGTGGGGGGAGGGGGGAGGGAATAGCATTGACGAGTTAATGGGTGCAGGACACCAACATGGCACATGTATACATATGTAACAAACCTGCATGTTGTGCACATGTACCCTAAAACTTAAAGTATAATAATAATAATAAAATTCTTTTAAAGAAAAAGATCACATGCAAAGTAAAAAAACAAAGTAGGAAGGTACTTTTTGCATTTATTAAGGAAATAATTAATATTCTTAAAAGTGTTATGTTCCATTAATGAGAAAAGGGTATCTTTCCTTCATTCATAGAAAAACGAAGAATCCCTTGAGCCTTAAGTCACATCCAGCAAGTGGCAGAGCCTGGATGCAGCCTCCACTGTTTAATCCCAAGCTTCTTGTTCTTCTCACCTGCCCACGTGGTCTTCTTTAATCATTTTATCTGCCAGCCGCTGAAATCTCCAAGGTCTCCCCCTTGCGTGTTCTTGGCCAAAATGTGGTCATAGTAGGTGATGTTTCCCTTACTCCCTACCAAGAGTCCCCATTACCACTCAAGGCATGTGTTTATTAGCCTCTGCCTTCCTCATCCTCCCAAGACAGAGCTCTAGGTGAAGTGGGTGGATTCGTGGGGCTCAGTGCATTTTTTTTTTTTTTAAGACAGAGTCTCACTCTGTCATCCAGGCTGGCATGCAGTGGCGCAATCTCACCTTTTTAATCTGCCTAAGTCAATGAAAGGCTCTGCCTCCTGGGTTCAAGCGATTCTCCTGCCCCAGCCTCCCGAGTAGCTGGGATTCCAGGCACATGACACCACACTTGGCTAATTTTTCTATTTTTAGTAGAGATGGGGTTTTGCCACGCTGGCCAGGCTGGTCTCGAACTCCTGGACTCAAATGATCCAACTGCCTCGGCCTCCCAAATTGCTGGGATTACAAGCGTGAGGCACCGTGCCAGCCTCAGTGCATATTTACAGGTGCATCTACAAGGCTCTCCCGACGCCCTGGTGAGCACGATCACCCCTGCAGCTCCCTCACTTTAACAGCTGTTGCTTTTTGTGGTGCCTGGAATTGATTCTCACCTCTCCCTCATGTAGGACAAGCCTTTCATTGACTTACGCAGATTAAAAAGGCCTTAGAATCCTCACCCTCCTTCATCGTGGGGCTCTTGGCTGTTTCTAGTTTAGCAGAGATGGAAACCTCAGCCCGTTTCCCCTCCATTTTTTCTCTTGGTCCCCAAGTCACTGACCAGAGATCTTATTTCCTTCCTTCTCCTTTTAGACCTTTAGGTCTCAACTTTTAGACAACCACGTGCCCAGTGAATGGCCAGCCCTTCGTCCACATAGAAAACCCTTTCCATGCATCGTCCTTCTTTCTTTTCACGTGGAGTCAGCAGGCATTTTCTTAGGCTTATTAGGAACCCTAACTCCAACAACTCAAAATAAAATCGTTCTTATATTCTATATTAGCTATGTGCTGTTTTAGAAGACATTTTGTCTGTGGTAGATGGATTACAATTTTTGGTGAACTTAGTTTGGATGCCTTAGGACCCAGGTTCAAGTTTGAAGGTGGAAATAAAGTGTAGAGAACTTATGCTCCCCACTGATGAAGAAAGAAACATGCAAGGAGGAAAGAAGTGAAAGTTATAAGGTTAAAAACAAACCAGAGGGAATAAGGATGTGGTGGGGGACCGGAGTGATCAGGACACAACTCAAGTCCCTATTCTTATTTTGGTCACAAATAACACTTTAACTCCACCTTCCAAAATAACATGCAATATATTGTCTAGTATGTTCATTAAAACTTTCTGGAAGAATTAAACAGGAAACCAGTAACAGCGATTACTTGTTACAGGCACAGAACTGGGTAGATGAAAGGCAGGAGGGGAGAAAGATGTTCATATCTACCTTTCAGCACTTTTTGAAGTCTGACTATGAGAATGTACTACTTACTGAAAAATAAATTACTTAAGAAAATCTTACCCCAAAGGCAAGCCACAAGCTCATAAAATGTATAAAATGGAAGAAAATGCAGTCGAATGCAGCTTCTCTTTGACGAAGATTCCACAAATAGCAGAGGAACCGTATGGCTGAAGGCTCATCCTTCTAAGGCGTCAGTGTTCTGTGTGGGCAAGAGTGTGCATATGGTGTGGACATCGGGGTGTGACTGCATCCGTGTCTCCTGCAGAGAAAGGGCTCATCAGGGGATTGTTTGGACAGAGGTCTCTGTTGCTTCCTGCTCTCCCATTTCACAATCACTCTGATTGTCTGTAAGGTCCTGAGGATCTGGGTCTTTGGCCTTTTTGGCTATGAAAGCAGCATCATGTCATTGTTATGGTTACAGGGCTGATTTTGAGAGACGGGCTCTCAATGCACCAAAGGCTGGAATGGGCCGGAGAAGGGACAAGAAAAAAGAAGCCAGGCCGGGCGCGGTGCCTCACGCCTGGAATCCCAGCACTTTGGGAGGCCGAAGCAGGCGGATCACGAGGTCAGGAGATCGAGACCAGCCTGGCCAACATGGTGAAACCCCATCTCTACTAAAAATACAAAAATTAGCTGGGCGTGGTGGCGGGTGCCTGTAATTCCAGCTACTTGGGAGGCTGAGGCAGGAGAATCGCTTGAACCTGGAAGGCGGAGGTTGTAGTGAGCCGAGATCGTGCCATTGCACTCCAGCCTGGGCAATAAGAGTGAGACTCCATCTCAAAAAAAAAAAAAAAAAAAAAAAGAAGCTCCTCTAGTCCTCACCCGATCGTTCTCGCCAGTTCCCAGGCTGTCACTGTCAGAATTCTCCCTGCTTCACCTGCATCTCTCCCCCTGAAGACGGGGACAGGAACGTGACAAAAACTCCTTTTAAAGGCACCAAAAGGAAAACCGCTTCAGACTCGGGGTGAGTTGAATGATGACTCTTGACGTCACTACCTCTCCTTCAATTCCTCCTTTTGTCTCACAGGATTAGAGAACCTCTTATCTTTGTCCATTCTGAGAGTAAGGGACAAAAGCTCCAGGTCAAGATCAGGATCATGCCAGCACATGTATCTTGGGAAGCTGCATTCACAGAACCCCACACAGAGCCTGATAATCACATCCTGCCCCTTTTCTACTTACTTAAAATTTGCTCTAATGTCTGTTCACTTTCCTTATTCACGGAGACCATGAGAAATGAGTCCTTATAATTTCATCAGCACCTGGAATTAGGGTCCTGCTATATTTAGTGACAGGTTGGGTCAATTTCAAAACATGTTAAATTGGAGGTAATTAATTCTGGGAGATGCCCCAAACCCAAGGGGATTAGGAATCCAGCGCTGGATCCCTGTGGTGATCGGGTCCAAGAGAGGATAAGGCACTGGGAACCGGCCCACGACACCTCTGGAGTCTCAGAAGAATTTTGGTATTCCAAGTTCACAAGCAAAGAGTGGATTTTTGTTTTCTGGAGCTTTCCAGGGTAGTTCAGATAGAGGCCTGTAGGACCATGAAAAGGGCCAGATGGTGTAAACTATTGTTGGCTCCAAAGTCATATGAATGATTTTAGCTATTATGTTTATTTAAAAATTCTGGAAGAATAAACAGGAAACCAATAACAATGATTACTTGTTAGAGGTATGGAATTGGATGAGAGACAGGAGAGAAAAACGATTTCCATGTGTACCTTTTAGCACATTTTGGAGTTTGAATATGTGAATGTACTCCTTATTGAAAAATAAATTAATTAGGAAGTCTTACCCCAAAAGCAAACCATGGGCTCATAAAATGTATAAAACAGAAGAAAATGCAGTATAATGCAGCTTCTCTTTGATGAAGATTCCATAAACAGCAGAGACACTTGTATGTTTGGAGCCACATCCTTCTAATGTCTTAATGCTGTGTGTGAGCAAGAGTGTGTACGCGCCTGTGTTAGTGCAGGAAGATACGCTTATGCCATCTTTTCTTCTTCCAGACGTGAGAACCCGAGAAGCAAGGCTTAGACTATGTTGGTGCAGGCTCACTTGCCCTATTTTTATCTTCTCTGGACTGGAGAGAGCAGAGATAAGAATCTGAACATCCCTAAACATGGCAGGTGCCAGAAACCTGAACACCATTCTGGCAGATGTGGCATCAACAGCTCCATGCGGCAGGTGGAAAGTGAAATGACACCCAGAAAATGGAGTCTCTGTTTTCTCCTGTAGAAATGGCCCCATGAGTCTCCCTAACCCAGTTGATCTATCCAGGGAATCTGGAGAATAAAGAAGCATAGAATTTGGATAACTTGGGCATATGGGTTATTCTTGATATCTCTTTGGGACAGTGGCCAATGTCTTGTATGTTCTAGGGGTATAATTATGATATACCTTTAAATCAGCAGTATAATAGTTTAAATATATTATTCCATTGGATTGAACAAAAGAACAACCACCTAATTTTATGCTTAAAAAAATCTAGTTTATTTTTTTTCTACCTTTGGTAAAAGGAAGGGAATAAGCTGCTTGTTTAAGAAGAAAGTAGAAATACATGAAATCCATATTCTGTCTTCCAGACACATGACATGGCTTAGCTGTGGTATTTGATGTTCAATCCATTCATCAAAGTGGAATGCTTACTGGTGCAGCTGAATGAACAAAAGTTGGGAAGAGAGCAATGCAGGTCTTGGAGTTGGAAAAGTCATCTGTGTTAGTCCTTCTTCCTATTTCACTTCTTTTCTTAAAACCTGGAGAGGTAGAACATAAAGGGAGCCCAAATCCAACTCATGTGTTCTTAGTTTGACCAGATGAGCATTTGCAAGGACCCCCTTTTATCTTTTAGAGAATGAAGAAGATCTAGTATTTGATAGCACAATACCATCACTATAGTCAATTCAATCATACATTAAAAATAACTAAGTATAATTGGATTGTTTGTAACACAGCGGATAAATACTTGAGGTGATGGATACACCACTTACCCTGATGTGATTATTACACACTGTATGCCTGTATCAAAATATCTCATGTACCCCATAAATATACACACCTATGTACCCACAACATTTTGAAAAATGTAAACAATAATGAAAAATTATGACATTGATTTGGTTGCTTTGTAATGTAGATAGATGTTATATATATAGCATCTAGCAAAAGGCATTGGAGCAATAAATGAGATTATGCAAATACAGAGCTTCTACATTTTACATGAGGTGGTGTGATATTAACTGTAAATGGACTGTGAGAAGCCAAGCATGTATATCGAAATCCTACAACCACGAATGAAAACATAAGATAAAGGGGAATAACTTAAAAAGTAATAAATAAATAGGAATTACAAAAGGGACCATTACCATGGCTGGAGTGTCCCCTCTGCTTGTTAAAGTTCTAGCCATGTTTCCTGCATGTGCACACATCCTGACTTCTTTAGATATCTCTCTTTATTATTCTATATTCCCTCTACAGGCCAGCTGTGGAGGCAGAGGAAGAGCATTCAGCATGAGGAAAACTAGGCTCAAATACAAGATCTGCATTTTTCTAATTGAAAGACATGGGCTAAATCACTTCATCTTTGAGAGATGTGACTTCATCTGGAAAGAGGGCTATTGCCATCTGTGCCACAGGACTATTTTGAAAATTCAAAGAGACAATAATATATGTGATAGACGAAATGCACACACCCACATGCATACATACATTTCATATGTAATGAAATGGCTACTTTCTCTGAACCTACGTGGCACATTAACTTCTTTTGCAGCACTTATCACTTTCTTTCTTGTTTCATTTTTTTCAAAAACAAGTATTTGAGTGCTCAGTAGTGCAGGACAATACACTGTGCTATGTCCCTTGACTGATATAAAAGGGAGAGAGACACATAGTTTGACTTGGAGGGACATCAAGTCTTGACTGTACAAATATCTTCCTTCCCCAACTAGAATCCTCATTCTCCAGCCTGGCTCCCTTTCTTGTAGTCATTCTGCAAGCCTCTTTGTTGAAAACTTGACTTCTCAGCTCCCCTCTGATCCATGTTCTGTTAATTTTGCTCCAAAGCTTTGTGTCTTCATTCTACTATTTAATTCAATACATCCGCAAGAGTCACAGGAACACTAAAAACACACCCAAAATGGAACTATTTTTTTCTTAAATTACTCTTTTGTTCACTACTGTCATTAAGGGCATCTTTTTCCTTTTAGTGACTCAAACTCAAAATCTTGTAGACATCTTATTGCTATCATAATAATTCATTCTGTGGTTTCTATTTCCACATAACCTTTGCATCTAGATCGTAGATGCAAAGGAGCATACCTCCTTATATAGTATCTATCCTCTTTGGTATTTATTATTTCACTATGGGCAATAAACACCTAATTTCATTTGATGTTACTGAGTTTATCCATAACAGCAAAATTAGTCTTGTATTCATTTTGTATCTTCACTCTCTCTTCCCTAGATTGCTTTAAGAGCTGTCTAATTAAACTCCTGATCTCATCACTCTCCCCTCCTCCCTTACTGCTCTCTTATCTATCCATTCTTGATTAAAGAGAAGCTCTCTTCATTGTTTCATTCAGAGCTTTTATCTATGTATCTATGTAACTATCAATCATAATTTCATAAACACCCCTGGACTCACCACTTAATCTGAATATTAGGACTGTAGTAATAACCTACATCTAACTATGTGATAACCCTAGTTCTATTCCTCCATCTCTCCTCTTGAATTTTGTCTCATCCTCAACCCTGTGGTCATTCTCTCCTTTGCTTTTGTTTTTATTTTATTTTTATTATTCATTAATGACTGTCTTAGCAAGATTTTAGGATTTGTATTATCTTTAGATATAGTCTAGTTTAAACTATGAAGTAAGCACAAAAATATTTCCCCAGGTCAGTTTCTTTTTTTATTATACTTTAAGTTCTGGGGTACATGTGCAGAACATGCAGGTTTGTTATGTAGGTATACACGTGCCATGGTAGTTTGCTGTACCCATCAACCCATCATCTACATTAGGTATTTCTCCTAATGCTATCCCTCCAATAGCCCCCCACCCCCTCACAGGCCCCAGTGTGTGATGTTCCCTTCCCTGTGTCCATGGGTTCTCATTGTTCAACTCCCACTTATGAGTGAGAACATGCAGTGTTTGGTTTTCTGTTCCTGTGTTAGTTTGCTGAGAATGATGGTTTCCAGCTTCATCCATGTCCCTGCAAAGGAAAGGAACTCATACCTTTTTTATGGCTGCATAGTATTCCATTGTGTATATGTGCCACATTTTCTTTATCCAGTCTATCGTTGATGGGCATTTGGGTTGGTTCCAAGTCTTTGCTATTGTGAACAGTGCCACAGTAAATATACGTGTGCATGTGTCTTTATAGTAGAATGATTTATAATCCTTTGGGTATATACCCAGTAATGGGATTGCTGGGTCAAATGGTATTTCCGGTTCTAGATCCTTGAGGAGTCGCCACACTGTCTTCCACAATGGTTGAACTAATTTACACTCCCACCAACAGTGTAAAAGCATTCCTATTTCTCCACATCCTCTCCAGCATCTGTTGTTTCCTGACTTTTTAATGATCGCCATTTTAACTGGTGTGAGACGGTATCACATTGTAGTTTTGATTTGCATTTCTCTAATGACCATTGATGATGAGGTTTTTTTCATATGTTTGTTGGCTGCATAAATGTCTTCTTTTGAGAAGTGTCTGTTCATATCCTTTGCCCACTTTTTGATGGGGTTGTTTTTTTCCTGTAAATTTAAATTCTTTGTAGATTCTGGATATTAGCCCTTTGTCAAATGGATAGATTGCAAAAATTTTCTCCCATTCTGTAGGTTGCCTGTTTACTCTGATGATAGTTTCTTTTGCTGTGCAGAAGCTCTTTAGATTCCACTTGTCAATTTTGGCTTTTGTTGCCATTGCTTTTGGTGTTGTAGTCATGAAGTCTTTGCCCATACCTATGTCCTGGATGATATTGCCTAGGTTTCCTTCTAGGGTTTTTATGGGTTGAGGTCTTATGTTTAAGTCTAATCCATCTTGAGTTAATTTTTTATAAGGTGTAAGGAAGGGGTCCAGTTTCATTTTTCTGCATATGGCTAGCCAGTTTTCCCAACACCATTTATTAAATAGGGAATCCTTTCCCCATTGCTTGTTTGTGTCAGGTTTGTCAAAGATCAGATGGTTGTAGATGTGTGGTGTTATTTCTGAGGTCTCTGTTCTGTTCCATTGGGCTATGTGTCTGTTTTGGTACCAGTACCATGCTACCATGCTGTTTTGGTTATTGTAGCCTTGTAGTATAGTTTGAAGTCAAGTAGCATGATGCGTCCAGCTTTTTTTTTTTTTTTTTTTTTTTTTTTTTTTTTTT
Organism: Homo sapiens; assembly: GCF_000001405.40. Taxonomy (NCBI): domain Eukaryota; kingdom Metazoa; phylum Chordata; class Mammalia; order Primates; family Hominidae; genus Homo; species Homo sapiens. The sequence continues at coordinate 3,138,805 of NC_000017.11, forward strand.
TGCTTAGGATTGTCTTGGCTATACGGGCTCTTCTGTTGGTTCCATATGAAATTTTAAAGAAGTGTTTTCTAATTCTGTGAAGAATGTCAATAGCAGTTTGATGGAAATAGCATTGAATCTATAAATTACTTTGGGCAGTATGTCCATTTTCATGTTATTGATTCTTCCTATAAATGAGGATGGAATGTTTTTCCATTTTTTGTGTCCTCTCTTATTTCCCTGAACAGTGGTTCTTAGTTTCCCTTGAAGAGGTCCTTCACGTCCCTTGTAAGCTGTATTCCTAGGTATTTTATTCTCTTTGTAGCAATTGTGAATGGGAACTCATTCATGATTTGGCTCTTGGCTTGTCTATTGTTGGTGTATAGAAATGCCTGTGATTTTTGCACATTGATTTTGTATCTTGAGATTTTGCTGAAGCTGCTTATCAGCTTAAGGAGTTTTTGGGCTGAGACTATGGGGTTTTCTAAATATAGAATCATGTTGTCTGCAAACAGATTCTCTTCCTATTTGAATACCCTTTACTTCTTTCTCTTGCCTGATTGCCCTGGCCAGAACTTCCAATACTGTGTTGAATAGGAGTGGCGAGAGAGGGCATCCTTGTCTTGTGCCAGTTTTCAAAGGGACTGCTTCCAGCTTTTGCCCATTCAGTATGATGTTGGCTATGGGTTGTCATAGATGGCTCTTATTATATTGAGATATATTCCATTAATATCTAGTTTATTGAGAGTTTTTAACATGATGCGATGTCGAATTTTATCGAAGCCCTTTTCTGCATCTATTAAGCATGTGGTTTTTGTCATTGGTTCTGTTTATCTGATGGATTACATTTATTGATTTGCATATGTTGACCCAGACTTGCATCCCAGGGATGAAGCCGACTTGATTGTGGTGGATAAGCTTTTTGATGTGCTGCTGGATTCAGTTTGCCAGTATTTTATTGAGGATTTTTGCATCAGTGTTCATCAGGGATGTTGGTCTGAAGTTTTCTTTTTTTGTTGTGTCTCTGCCAGGTTTTAGTATCAGGATGATGCTGGCCTCATAAAATGAGTTAGGGAGGAGTCCCTCCTTTTCAATTGTTTGGAATAGTTTCAGAAGGAATGGTAGCAACTCCTCTTTGATTCACAGCCGAATTCTACCAGAGGAACAATCTGGTGGTCCTGGGCAGTTTTGGGTTGGTAGGCTATTCGTTACTGCCTCAATTTCAGTAGTTGTTATTGGTCTATTCAGGGATTCTACTTCTTCCTGGTTTAGTCTTGGGAGGGTGTATGCATTCACAAATTTATCCATTTCTTCTAGATTTTCTAGTTTATTTGTGTAGAGGTATTTATAGCATTCTTTGATGGTAGTTTGTATTTCTGGGGGAGGGGGTGAGTGGTGATATCCCTTATATCATTTATATTTTGTCTATTTGATTCTTCTCTCTCTTTTTCTTTATTTGTCTAGCTAGTGGTCTATGTATTTTGTTAACTTTTTAAAAAAAAAAAAAAACCAGCTCCTGGATTAACTGATTTTTTGAAAGTTTTCTCGTGTCTCTACCTCCTTCAGTTCCACTCTGATCTTAGTTATTTCTGGTCTTCTGCTAGCTTTTGGATTCGTTTGCTCTTTCTTCTCTAATTCTTTTAATTGTGATGTTAGGGTGTTGGTCTGAGATCTTTCCGGCCTTCTGATGTGGGCATTTAGTGCTATAAATTGCCCTTTTAACACTGCTTTAGCTGTGTCCCAGAGATTCTGGTACATTGTCTCTTTGTTTTCATTGGTTTCAAATAACTTCTTAATTTCTGCCTTAGTTTTGTTATTTACCCAGGAGTCATTCAGGAGCAGGTTGTTCAATTTCTATGTAGTTGTGTGGTTCTGAGTGAGTTTCTTAATCCTCAGTTCTAATTTGATTGCACTGTGGTCTGACAGACTGTTATGATTTCATTTCTTTTGCATTTCTGAGGAGGGTTTTACTTCCAATTATGTGGTCGATGTTAGAAAAAGTGCCCCGTGGCACTGAGAAGAAAGTATATTCTGTTGATTTGGGGTGGAGAGTTCCATAGATGTCTATTCGGTCCACTTGATCCAGGGCTGAATTCAAGTCCTGAATATCCTTAATTTTCTGTCTTGATTATCTAATATTGACAGCGGGGTGTTAGACTCTCACACAATAATAGTGGGAGACTTCAAGTGTCTTTGAAGGTCTCTAAGAACCTGTTTTATGAATCTCAGTGCTCCTGTATTGGGTGCATATATATTTAGGATCGTTAGCTCTTCTTGTTGCATTCATCCCTTTACCATTATGTAATACCCTTCTTTGTCTTTTTTGAAGTTTGTTGGTTTAAAGTCTGTTTTGTTAGAGACTAGGATTGCAACTCCTGCTTGTTTTGCTTTCCATTTGCTTGGTAAATTTTCCTCTATCCCTTTTTTTTTTTTTGAGCTTATATGTGTCTTTGCATGTTAGATGGGTCTCCTGAATACAGCACACGCCGATGGGTTTTGACTCTTTACGCAATTTGCCACTCTGTGTCTTTTAATTGGGGCATTTAGCTCATTTACATTTAAAGTTAATATTGTTATGTGTGAATGTGATCCTGTCATGATGCTAGCTGGTTATTTTGCACACTGGTTGATGCAGTTTCTTCATAGTGTCACTGGTCCTTATATTTTGGTGTGTTTTTGCAGTGGCTGGTACTGGTTTTTCCTTTCCATATTTAGTGCTTCCTTCAGGAGCTCTTGTTAATGCAGGCCTGGTGGTGACAAAATCTCTCAGCATTTGCTTGTCTGTAAAGGATTTTATTTCTCCTTTGCTTATGAAGCTTAGTTTGGCTGGATATGAAATTCTGGGTTGAAAACTCTTTATTTTAAGAATGTTGAATATTGGCCCCCACTCTATTTGGGCTTAAGGTTTCTGCAGAGAGATCCACTGTTAGTCTGATGGGCTTCCCTTTGTAGGTGACCTGACTTTTCTTGCTGGCTGCTGTTAACATTTTTTTCCCTCATTTTGACCTTGGAGAATCTGATGATAGTGTGTCCTGGGGTTAATCTTCTCGTGAAGTATCCTATGATGTTCTCTGTATTTCCTGAATTTGAATGTTGGCCTGTCTTGCTAGCTTGGGGAAGTTCTCCTGGATAATAACCTGAAGTGTGTTTTCCAACTTGTTTCCATTCTCCCCATCTCTTTCAGATACTTGTATCAATCGTAGGTTCAATCTTTTTAAATAGTCCCACATTTCTTGGACGTTTTGTTTGTTCCTTTTCATTCTTTTTCCTCCAATCTTGTCTGCTTATTTCAAGATAGTCTTCAAGCTCAAATTCTTTTCTCTGCTTGGTCTGTTTGGTTATTGGTACTTCTGGTTACATTGTGAAGTCCTCGTGTTGTTGATACTGTGATTGCATTGTGAAGTCCTCCCTTGCCTGGAGTTGCTGAAATTCCTGCAGGGAGCCAAGCCACGAGGAGGAATGTGTCAGGGTCCAGCCTAAACAGGCAGTCTGGCCATGATCCACCACAGCCGCTTTACTGCACTGTAGGAAATTCATCCTGGATCTAAACTGTCCAGTTTCTCTGGCACTGGCAGGGTAAAAACAGCTGACTGGAGCTGTAGTGATGGCTGCCACCCCTCCCCTGGGAGCTCAGCCTTGTTTTTTTTTTTTTTTTTGAGACAGAGTCTCGTGGTGTCACCCAGGCTGGAGTGCAGTGGCATGATCTCGGCTCACTGCAACCTCCGCCTCCTGGATTCAGATGATTCTCCTGCCTCAGCCTCCTGAGTAGCTGGGATTACAGGCACCCACTATCCTGCCCAGCTAATTTTTTTTTTTGTATTTTGGTAGAGACAGAATTTCACCATGTTGGCCAGGCTGGTCTCGAACTCCTGACCTCTGGTGATCTGCCTGCCTTGGCCTCCCAAAGTGCTGGGATTACAGGCGTGAGCCACCACACTGGCAGGGAGCTCAGTCCTCTTAGGCAGCCACCAGCTGCAGTGATGATGGCAGTCCCTCCTCCCACCGGAATTCAGTAGGCTTAAGCAATCTCCAGCTGAGTGGCCGCTGAGAGTCTGCACAGCTCTGTGCTTGGGACCCAAGGACCTGGTGGCATGGGCTTCCGAAGGGGATCTCCTGATCTGTGGGTTGCACGCATCCGGGGAAAAACTGTGGTTCCCTGGCCAGGGTAGCACCATCACTCGCCACCTCCCTTGGCTGGGGGTGGGAGCTCCCCTTGCCCTGTGTGGCTCCCAGGTGGGCCATCGCATCACCCTGCTTTTCCTCACTGTTCATGGGTCACGCCAACCACCTAATCAGTCCCAGTGAGAGAACCTGGATACCTCAGCTGCCATTTTCATTCTTCTCAGAGGAAGCCTCTGACTGCAGCTGTTTCTAGTCAGCCATCTTGGCCCTCTCCTCTATATTTTCTTATACATTTTAGAATAATCTTGTTTATATATAAAACAAAAAAAATCCTGCTGGAATTCGGATAGGAATTTAAACCTAAATCTCAATTTGAGGAGAATTGGCAACTTTGCTATGTTAAATTTCACAATTCATGAACGTGTTCTGTCTCTCCATTTATCTAGGTCTTCTTGATTTCTTTCAGCAGTGTTTTGTAGTTTTCAACATAAAAATCCTGTACATGTCAAAAATTAGCTGGGTGTGGTGGTGCGCACCTGTAGTTCCAGCTACTTGGGAGGCTGAGGCAGGAGAATCGCTTGAACCCGGGGGGGCAGAGGTTGCAGTGAGCCAAGATCCCGCCATTGCACTCCAGCCTGGTGACAGAGTGAGACTCTGTTTTTTTTTTTTTTTTTTTTTTTTTGAGACAAACAAAAAAAACTAGTCCTGTACATGTGTTTTTGTTTTCAGATTTACATCTGTTTTATTTTCCTGAGTGATTGTAAATGCTTTTGTATTTTTAAGTTTGGTGTCTGCATGCTTATTGCTACTGTAAGATATACAGCTGATTTTTGTACGTTTATCATGCATTTTGTGACCTTTCTGAACTCACATAAGCATTTTTTAGGTTTTGTTTTTGTTTTGTTTTAGCTTTTTAAAGACATTTCTTAGAATTTTCTATGTCCTCTGAATCATGTCATCTGAAAATGGTGACAATTTCATTTATTTCTGTTTGTATGCCTTTTATTTCCTTATCTTATTGCACTGGATATAACTTCCAGTTCTTTATTCAATAAGAGTAATGACAGTCAACATTTTTGATTTGTCCCCAGTCTTTCCTCATAACCTACAGTATAATGTTAGCCATAGGATTTTGTAGATGCTTTTTATCAAGTTGAGCAAATTCCTCTTCATTCTTCTCCTTCTCAGGTTTTATTTTTAAAAATTTATGAAAGAATGTTAAATGTTGTCAAATCTGTTTACTGTATCAATTAGTGGGATCATGTAATTCTTTAGGCCGTTAGTATGCTAGATTGGATTGACTGGCTTTCAACTATTGAACCAACCATGCATACCTGGAATAAACCCCACTTGATCATGGTGTATAATTTCTTTTATATATTGCTGAATTTTATCTGATATTATGAATTTTTACATTTATATTCATAAGGGTATTGGTCTGTAGTTCTCTATGTCTGTACTCTCTATCTGGTTTTGGCATCAGGGTAATCTCTTCTCTCCTTTTCTATTTTTGGAAGAGATTGTGTAGAATTTGTGTTAATTCCTCTTTAAACATTTGATGGAGTTTTCCAGTGAAACCATCTGGACCTATATATTTCTTTTGAGGCCTTATACAATTATTATTTCAATTACCTTAATAGCTGTAAGTCTACTCAAATGATCTATTTCACATTGGATGAGTTGTGGTAGTTTGTATTTGTTGAGGAATTCGTTCATTTTATCTTCATTGTCAAAATTATGTGTGTAGAATTCCTAATAGTATCCTCTTATCTCTTGTATGTCTGCAGGGTCTGTAGTGATATACCTTATTTCAGTTCTTATATTGTCTTCTCTGTTTTTTCTTTGTCTTGCTAGAGATTTGTTATTGATCTTTACAAAGAACCGGGTCTTCGCTTCTTTGATTTTTCTCTGTTGTTTTTTATGTTCAATTTCATTGATTTTTGATCCTATCATTATTACTTCCTTCCTTGTGTTTGCTTTGAATTTATTTTGCTCTTTTCTAGGCTTCTTAAATGGGAACTTAGATTATTGATTTGAGACTTTCCTCTTTTCTAATGTATGTATTCAGTGCTATACATTTTCTTCTTATCATTGTTCTAGCTTTGTTCCACAAATTCTGATATGTTATATTTTCATTTTAATTCAGCTCAAGGTTGTTTTTTAAAATTACACTTGCAACTTCCCCAGGGATTATTAATAAATGTGTTGTTTAGTTTTTGAGTGTCTGGAGATTTTCCTAATCTTTGTTATTGATTTCTAGGCTGATTTGTTAAGTTTATCTTATACCCCAGTATATGATCTATCATGGTATATATTCGGGAGCACTTGAAAATAATGTTAGTTCTGCTGTTATTGAAGGGGGTGGTCTATAAATGTCAAATAGATACTGTTGGTTACTGCTGTTGTAGAGTTATCCCATATCCTTACTGAGCTTCTGTCTAGTTATTCTATCATTGTTGAGAGAGGGGTTTTGAAGTCTTCAAGTATAATCGTGAACATTTGTCTATGTCTCCTTCAGTTTTCAGTTTTTTTCTCACATATTTTGCATTTCAATTGTATGATGAATACGTTTTCAGGATTGCTATGTCTTCCTGGTGGATTGAGCCCTTTATTATAATATCCCTCTCTGTCACTGATAATTTCCTTTACTCTGAAATCCACTTATATGAAATATATATAGCCACGTCTCTTTCTTTTCATTAATGTTTATATGTCTTTCTCCATTCTTTTCCTTTCAACCTAAGCTGTAATATTTGAGGTGAGTTTCTTGTGGACAACATAGAGTTGGGTAATGTTTATTTTGAATCTACCCTGCCAACTTCTGTCTTTTAATTGGTGCATTTAGACCATTTACATGTAATATAATTAATGCTTTCTTTTTCCTGCCTTCTTGTGAGTTGCTTTAACATTTGGTGTTTTTGAGTATATCCCTTTGTATAGTTTTTTAGTGGCTGCTGTAGGCATTACACTAAACACACATACATAATTTATCACATTTTACTGTTTTCATCATTTTACCAGTTCAAGTGAAGTGTGGAAACCTTACCTCCCTTTAATTAATCCACTAAAATAAAACCAACTGCCCCCGACCATTTCGTGCTCCTCATGCAGTAGACCAACAGAAAAAGATACGAGACACTTTTTTTTAACTGATAATTGATATTGATTACCATGAAGATTTATGGCTGCTACTACACAATTGAAAATAATACATCTTAAACTTAAGGGGTTTACTTCGATATGCCATGAACTTTCATATTAATTCCATAAATAGTAATAAATGCTAACAAGAATTTTAGTCATCATAACACAAAAAAAGCAGAATAACTAAAACCTCTGATTGTTGAAGGTCTAATTCATTCTACCAGGCATCAACACAGACCTGCCAACTGATAGCTTAGATGAGGGAAATCTAAAATACGTAGTAGAGAATTGAGCTAATTATCTGCAGTTACAGCTTTGGGACAATCAACAGTAGTATGAACTGTATCTTGTTTTGATTACACTTTTATGAAATCTTTCCAACTCCTAACTGGCCACCACCTTAAAGGGAATTCTGAGTTATGGGGCATATACCCACCCTATTTGGGAAGGAATCAGGCTGAATTCATTTTAACAACACTTAGAGGCTCCGTATCATAGGATGAGAGCTGGATACAATGGGGAACTGCAAATGGATCTGAGTAGCACAGGCGTGGATTGCATTGAACACAAACGTCATGCACCTCCTCAGTTTCTCTTGACGATCTCCTTCTTTCTGAAGGCATCCCCTGCCTCCTGGACCAAGTCACTACCACTGACAGCCTTACCCCTCTTGTGGGAGATGGGGTGTGCTACTCAGCACAAGGAAGCAAAGTTATGTGTGGTCCACCACTCTTTGTCAAATTCCTCAAGATGGCTGGAATCCCAGTTTTTGACCCAGACCTGCATGGGCTATAGGCAGATACACACACACAACACTCACAGTCAGCCACGACTTAAGGAAGAAAGCTAGAAATAAATACACATGGCTGGGCGTGGCAGCTCACACCTATAATCCCAGCACTTTGGGAGGCCGAGGTGGATGGATCACTGGAGGTCAGCAGTTCGAGACCAGTCTGGCCAACATGGTGAAACCCCGTCTCTACTAAAAATATAAAAATTAGCCAGGCGTGGTGGCAGGCACCTATAATCTCAGCTACTTGGGAGGCTGAGGCAGGAGAATCGCTTGAACCTGGAAGGCAGAGGTTGCAGTGAGCCGAGATCGTGCCATTGCACTCCAGCCTGGGCAATAAGAGTGAGACTCCATCTCAAAAAAAAAAAAAAAAAAAAAAAGAAAATAAAAAGAACTACACACTAGTTACCATAATATATAACTTACATTTATTTATCTTCTCATTACAAATTGTTTGTAAATCTTTTTACTAAGAGAACACAGATCACTCCTATATTGCTGAGAGCTTTGTTTTTTTTTATTATTATTTATTTTTTTTTAATTATACTTTAAGTTTTAGGGTACATGTGCACATTGTGCAGGTTAGTTACATATGTATACATGTGCCATGCTGGTGCACTGCACCCACTAACTCGTCATCTAGCATTAGGTATATCTCCCAATGCTATCCCTCCCCCCTCCCCCCACCCCACCACAGTCCCCAGAGTGTGATATTCCCCTTCCTGTGTCCATGTGATCTCATTGTTCAATTCCCACCTATGAGTGAGAATATGCGGTGTTTGGTTTTTTGTTCTTGCGATAGTTTACTGAGAATGATGATTTCCAATTTCATCCATGTCCCTACAAAGGACATGAACTCATCATTTTCTATGGCTGCATAGTATTCCATGGTGTATATGTGCCACATTTTCTTAATCCAGTCTATCATTGTTGGACATTTGGGTTGGTTCCAAGTCTTTGCTATCGTGAATAATGCCGCAATAAACATACGTGTGCATGTGTCTTTATAGCAGCATGATTTATAGTCCTTTGGGTATATACCCAGTAATGGGATGGCTGGGTCAAATGCTATTTCCAGTTCTAGATCCCTGAGGAATCGCCACACTGACTTCCACAATGGTTGAACTAGTTTACAGTCCCACCAACAGTGTAAAAGTGTTCCTGTTTCTCCACATCCTCTCCAGCACCTGTTGTTTCCTGACTTTTTAATGATCGCCATTCTAACTGGTGTGAGATGGTATCTCATTGTGGTTTTGATTTGCATTTCTCTGATGGCCAGTGATGATGAGCATTTTTTCATGTGTTTTTTGGCTGCATAAATGTCTTCTTTTGAGAAGTGTCTGTTCATGTCCTTCGCCCACTTTTTGATGGGGTTGTTTGTTTTTTTCTTGTAAATTAGTTTGAGTTCATTGTAGATTCTGGATATTAGCCCTTTGTCAGATGAGTAGGTTGCGAAAATTTTCTCCCATTTTGTAGGTTGCCTGTTCACTCTGATGGTAGTTTCTTTTGCTGTGCAGAAGCTCTTTAGTTTAATTAGATCCCATTTGTCAATTTTGTCTTTTGTTGCCATTGCTTTTGGTGTTTTAGGCATGAAGTCCATGCCCATGCCTATGACCTGAATGGTAATGCCTAGGTTTTCTTCTAGGGTTTTTATGGTTTTAGGTCTAACATTTAAGTCTTTAATCCATCTTGAATTGATTTTTGTATAAGGTGTAAGGAAGGGATCCAGTTTCAACTTTCTACATATGGCTAGCCAGTTTTCCTAGCACCATTTATTAAATAGGGAATCCTTTCCCCATTGCTTGTTTTTCTCAGGTTTGTCAAAGATCAGATAGTTGTAGATATGCGGTGTTATTTCTGAGGGCTCTGTTCTGTTCCATTGATCTATATCTCTGTTTTGGTACCAGTACCATGCTGTTTTGGTTACTGTAGCCTTGTAGTATAGTTTGAAGTCAGGTAGCGTGACGCCTCCAGCTTTGTTCTTTTGGCTTAGGATTGACTTGGCGATGCAGGCTCTTTTTTGGTTCCATATGAACTTTAAAGTAGTTTTTTCCAATTCTGTGAAGAAAGGCATTGGTAGCTTGATGGGGATGGCATTGAATCTGTAAATTACCTTGGGCAGTATGGCCATTTTCACGATATTGATTCTTCCTACCCATGAGCATGGAATGTTCTTCCATTTGTTTGTATCCTCTTTTATTTCCTTGAGCAGTGGTTTGTAGTTCTCCTTGAAGAGGTCCTTCACATCCCTTGTAAGTTGGATTCCTAGGTATTTTATTCTCTTTGAAGCAATTGTGAACGGGAGTTCACTCATGATTTGGCTCTCTGTTTGTCTGTTGCTGGTGTATAAGAATGTTTGTGATTTTTGCACATTGATTTTGTATCCTGAGACTTTGCTGAAGTTGCTTATCAGCTTAAGGAGATTTTGGGCTGAGACAATGGGGTTTTCTAGATATACAATGATGTTGTCTGCAAACAGGGACAATTTGACTTCCTCTTTTCCTAATTGAATACCCTTTATTTCCTTCTCCTGCCTAATTGCCCTGGCCAGAACTTCCAACACTATGTTGAATAGGAGTGGTGAGAGAGGGCATCCCTGTCTTGTGCCAGTTTTCAAAGGGAATGCTTCCAGTTTTTACCCATTCAGTATGATATTGCCTGTGGGTTTGTCACAGATAGCTCTTATTATTTTGAAATATGTCCCATCAATACCTAATTTATTGAGAGTTTTTATCATGAAGGGTTGTTGAATTTTGTCAAAGGCCTTTTCTGCATCTATTGAGATAATCATGTGGTTTTTGTCTTTGGTTCTGTTTATATGCTGGATTACATTTATTGATTTGCGTATATTGAACCAGCCTTGCATCCCAGGGATGAAGCCCACTTGATCATGGTGGATAAGCTTTTTGATGTGCTGCTGGATTCGGTTTGCCAGTATTTTATTGAGGATTTTTGCATCAATGTTCATCAAGCATATTGGTCTAAAATTCTCTTTTTTTGTTGTGTCTCTGCCTGGCTTTGGTATCAGAATGATGCTGGCCTCATAAAATGAGTTAGGGAGGATGCCCTCTTTTTCTATTGATTGGAATAGTTTCAGAAGGAATGGTACCAGTTCCTCCCTGTACCTCTGGTAGAATTCAGCTGTGAATCAATCCATCTGGTCCTGGACTCTTTTTGGTTGGTAAGCTATTGATTATTGCCACAATTTCAGATCCTGTTATGGGTCTATTCAGAGATTCAACTTCTTCCTGGTTTAGTCTTGGGAGAGTGTATGTGTTGAGGAATTTATCCATTTCTTGTAGATTTTCTAGTTTATTTGCGTAGAGGTGTTTGTAGTATTCTCTGATGGTAGTTTGTATTTCTGTGGGATTGGTGGTGATATCCCCTTTAGCATTTTTTATTGTGTCTATTTGATTCTTCTCTCTTTTTTTCTTTATTAGTCTTGCTAGCAGTCTATCAATTTTGTTGATCCTTTCAAAAAACCAGCTCCTGGATTCATTAATTTTTTGAAGGGTTTTTTGTGTCTCTATTTCCTTCAGTTCTGCTCTGATTTTAGTTATTTCTTGCCTTCTGCTAGCTTTTGAATGTGTTTGCTCTTGCTTTTCTAGTTCTTTTAATTGTGATGTTAGGGTGTCAATTTTGGATCTTTCCTGCTTTCTCTTGTGGGCATTTAGTGCTATAAATTTCCCTCTACACACTGCTTTGAATGTGTCCCAGAGATTCTGGTATGTTGTGTCTTTGTTCTCATTGGTTTCAAAGAACATCTTTATTTCTGCCTTCATTTTGTTATGTACCCAGTAGTCATTCAGGAGCAGGTTGTTCAGTTTCCATGTAGTTGAGTGGTTTTGAGCGAGATTCTTAATCCTGAGTTCTAGTTTGATTGCACTGTGGTCTGAGAGATAGTTTGTTATAATTTCTGTTCTTTTACATTTGCTGGGGAGAGCTTTACTTCCAAGTATGTGGTCAATTTTGGAATAGGTGTGGTGTGGTGCTGAAAAAAATGTATATTCTGTTGATTTGGGGTGGGGAGTTCTGTAGATGTCTATTAGGTCTGCTTGGTGCAGAGCTGAGTTCAATTCCTGGGTATCCTTGTTGACTTTCTGTCTCATTGATCTGTCTAATGTTGACAGTGGGGTGTTAAAGTCTCCCATTGTTAATGTGTGGAAGTCTAAATCTCTTTGTAGGTCACTCAGGACTTGCTTTATGAATCTTGGTGCTCCTGTATTGGGTGCATATATATTTAGGATAGTTAGCTCTTCTTGTTGAATTGATCCCTTTACCATTATGTAATGGCCTTCTTTGTCTCTTTTGATCTTTGTTGGTTTAAAGTCTGTTTTATCAGAGACTAGGATTGCAACCCCTGCCTTTTTTTGTTTTCCATTTGCTTGGTAGATCTTCCTCCATCCCTTTATTTTGAGCCTATGTGTGTTTCTGCACGTGAGATGGGTTTCCTGAATACAGCACACTGATGGGTCTTGACTCTTTATCCAATTTGCCAGTCTGTGTCTTTTAATTGGAGCATTTAGTCCATTTACATTTAAAGTTAATATTGTTATGTGTGAATTTGATCCTGTCATTATGATGTTAGCTGGTTATTTTGCTCATGAGTTGATGCAGTTTCTTCCTAGTCTTGATGGTCTTTACATTTTGGCATGATTTTGCAGCAGCTGGTACCAGTTGTTCCTTTCCATGTTTAGTGCTTCCTTCAGGAGCTCTTTTAGTGCAGGCCTGGTGGTGACAAAATCTCTCAGCATTTGCTTGTCTGTAAAGTATTTAATTTCTCCTTCACTTATGAAGCTTAGTTTGGCTGGATATGAAATTCTGGGTTGAAAATTCTTGTCTTTAAGAATGTTGAATATTGGCCCCCACTGTCTTCTGGCTTGTAGGGTTTCTGCCGAGAGATCTGCTGTTATTCTGATGGGCTTCCCTTTGAGGGGTAACCCGACCTTTCTCTCTGGCTGTCCTTAACATTTTTTCCTTCATTTCAACTTTGGTGAATCTGACAATTATGTGTCTGAATCTGACAATTATGTGTCTTGGAGTTGCTCTTCTCAAGGAGCATCTTTGTGGTGTTCTCTGTATTTCCTGAATCTGAATGTTGGCCTGCCTTGCTAGATTGGGGAAGTTCTCCTGGATAATATCCTGCAGAGTGTTTTCCAACTTTGTTCCATTCTCCCCATCACTTTCAGGTACACCAATCAGACGTAGATTTGGTCTTTTCACATAGTCCCATATTTCTTGGAGGCTTTGCTCATTTCTTTTTATTCTTTTTTCTCTAAACTTCCCTTCTCACTTCATTTCATTCATTTCATCTTCCATCGCTGATACCCTTTCTTCCAGTTAATCGCATCGGCTCCTGAGGCTTCTGCATTCTTCACGTAGTTCTCCAGCCTTGGTTTTCAGCTCCATCAGCTCCTTTAAGCACTTCTCTGTATTGGTTATTCTAGTTATACATTCTTCTAAATTTTTTCCAAAGTTTTCAACTTCTTTGCCTTTGGTTTGAATGTCCTCCCGTAGCTCAGAGTAATTTGATCGTCTGAAGCCTTCTTCTCTCAGCTCGTCACAGTCATTCCCCATCCAGCTTTGTTCCGTTGCTGGTGAGGAACTGCATTCCTTTGGAGGAGGAGAGGCCCTCTGCTTTCTAGAGTTTCCAGTTTTTCCCCCATCTTTGTGGTTTTATCTACTTTTGGTCTTTGATGATGGTGATGTACAGATGGGTTTTTGGTGTGGATGTCCTTTCTGTTTGTTAGTTTTCCTTCTAACAGACAGGACCCTCAGCTGCAGGTCTGTTGGAATACCCTGCCTTGTGAGGTGTCAGTGTGCCCCTGCTGGGGGGTGCCTCCCAGTTAGGCTGCTGAGGGGTTAGGGGTCAGGGACCCACTTGAGGAGGCAGTCTGCCCATTCTCAGATCTCCAGCTGCGTGCTGGGAGAACCACTGCTCTCTTCAAAGCTGTCAGACAGGGACATTTAAGTCTGCAGAGGTTACTGCTGTCTTTTTGTTTGTCTGTGCCCTGCCCCCAGAGGTGGAGCCTACAGAGGCAGGCAGGCCTCCTTGAGCTGTGGTGGGCTCCACCCAGTTGGAGCTTCCCGGCTGCTTTGTTTACCTAAGCAAGCCTGGGCAATGGTGGGCGCCCCTCCCCCAGCCTCGCAGCCGCCTTGCAGTTTGATCTCAGACTGCTGTGCTAGCCATCAGTGAGACTCCACGGGCGTAGGACCCTCCAGGACAGGTGCAGGATATAATCTCGTGGTGCACCGTTTTTAAGCCCCTCGGAAAAGCGCAGTATTCGGGTGGGAGTGACCCGATTTTCCAGGTGCCATCCGTCACCCCTTTCTTTGACTCAGAAAGGGAACTCCCTGATCCCTTGCGCTTCCCAAGTGAGGCAATGCCTTGCCCTGCTTCAGCTCGCGCACGGTATGCGCACCCACTGACCTGCGCCTACTGTCTGGCACTCCCTAGTGCGATGAACCTGGTACCTCAGAGGGAAATGCAGAAATCACCCTCTTCCGCGTTGCTCATGCTGGGAGCTGTAGACCGGAGCTGTTCCTATTCAGCCATCTTGGCTCCTCCCCAAGAGAGAGCTTTGTTTTAATAGCTGCAAATATTTTTGATTCATAACCTTGAGACAATTTGTATAATTTCCTATTTTTTGTAGGAAAACATACTTGTTCACTTAAAGTTGTAAAGTCTTTCTTTGCCATCTGATATTGACTTTATTGCTAATATTGTTATTAGCCCACTTTCCATGACTTCATTAAGTTTTAATAAACTAGCATATAACAGGCTACACGGGCTTTTAGAATTAAAAGCATTGCAAAAGTCACGCCTCCTTGTGAAAAATTATTAATAGGTTAAATGAGCAAATAAGGCGCTCTTCACAGATGAAGCACGAAGCAAAATCTTGATTTTCCTTCAAACTTGCAGTGCGCATTCAGGGAGGGGAGTGCTGAGAAGGGATATGTGGGATTCCGAAATTACACACTTGAGGTAGAAATTTCTGTCAAGCCCCTCACTGGAGGGGATGGAGAACACCTTGGGTTTCTCAGCAGAAGTCACTGGCCCTGTGAGAAGGAGACCCTGCCCTTGAGAAGTCTAACCACCGCCGCCTTCATGTCCTTGTTCCGCATGCTGTAAATAAAGGGGTTCAGCAGGGGAGTCACCACTGTGTACATGACAGCAGCCGCTGTATCCTCCTTTACTGAGTTGGAGGAAGAGGATGAGGGGCACAGATAAGCCCTGATCACTGTCCCAAAGAACAAAGCAACAACAACGAGGTGAGAGTCGCAGGTAGAGAAGGCCTTGCGCCTTCCCTGGGCAGAGGGGGCCCTGAGGATGGCTGAAACAATGCGGATATAAGAGACCAGGATGAGCATAAAAGGGATTAAAATGACTGCTCCCCCTAGGAAGAGGAGCACAAGCTCATTGACCTGGGCGTCAGAGCAAGACACCTTCATCAGCGGTCCCAAATCACAGAAGAAGCCAGGAAGGATCTAAGAGCACAAGGAAAGCCGGAATATGAGGAAGGTGCGAGTCATGGCGAGAAGACTTGTGAGGGTCCAGCAGGCTGTCACCAGGAAGGCACAGCGGTGGAGGCTCATGATCATCATATAGTGGAGCAGGTGGCAAATGGCCACATAGCGGTCATAGGCCATTGTAGCCGGGAGAAAGATGTCCATGTCCCCAAAAGTCAAGAAGAAGTAGAGCTGTGCCAAACACCCTGCGTAGGAAATGGACCTGCTCTGGGTCTGGATATTCACCAGGGCCTTGGGCACAGTGGTGGAGGTGGAAAAGATATCTGCACACGACAAGCTGGCAAGGAAGAAGTACATAGGGGTGTGGAGGTGTGTGTCAGTGCCAATGGCCAGGACAATGAGCAGGTTCCCAGCCACAGTGACCACGTACATCCACAGAAACAGCAGGAAGAAGATGTGTTGCTGCTGTGGCTGGTCTGAGAGTCCCCAGAGGAGGAACTCAAAGGTGCTAGTCTGATTCCCTCCTTCCAGGAGCTCAGAGGTCGGAGGAAAAAAATCTTGAGTGAGCCCCATTAGAATTCTATAAAAATGTTTTACTTTAGATTGGTGAGCATGCTATTCTCTGAGCTTTAAGGAAGAAGAAGAAGAAAGAAAGAAAGTACTTTTATTGGCCATCTACTATGTTGCACTGTAAATTTTTACTGAAATACACTATGCTAGAAAGTGTGCGAGATACAACATAAGGTAATTAAAATACATTTCTCGTTTGTTTTTCTACACTCTTTTCCATCCCAAATTTCTTTAGTTGTACTCTCAGAGGAGTTAAGATGCTTTCTTTCATTAATTTTACAGAAATTAATTACTGACTCTGGACCTGGCACAGTGATAACCCTTAACCTCAGGGAATTTTCGATCTAATGGGCTAGACATAACTGCTTCTATTAAAATCTTATATGAGTTGGATACAAGTTTTCCAGCCATTCACCTGCTTTCAAACCACTCTCAGACCCCAAGACTGCACCTGTTCTGATTAATCAAGCCCAAAACTCAATATTCTCTGAAGATGCAATTTCATGTTATCTATTCTTCTGGAAACCAATTCAACAATCAACTATTTAGAGAATCTGATTTGTTCTTTGGAGTTTCACTGACACCTCAAAAAGTAACCTGTATATAGTGGGTCTTTACTAGTCTCCAGAATCTTAAACAGGACAGGACCGAATGTGTCCTGAAAGAGAAGCTGAAGGCCAAAACTCAGCAATCAGGTAACTCAACCCAGGGTTACCACTGGAGAAGCAGGTAGGGCTATTCTGATGGAAGAGGCCTTCATATGGATAGAAACATCAGCAATAGGCCGGGTAAGCTGACTCAGGCCTGAAATACAGCACTTTGGGAGGCCTGGGTGGGCAGATCACTTAAGGGCAGGAGTTCGAGAATAACCTGGGCAACATGGTGAAACCCCATCTCTACTAAAAATACAAAAAAATTAGCCTGGTGTGGTGGCAGGCGCCTGTAATCGCAGCTACTCGGGAGGCTGAGTCAGGAGAATCGCTTGAACCAGGGAGGCTGGTAGTGAGCCAAAATTGCCTCACTCATGCCAGCCTGGGCCACAGAATGAGAAAAAGGAAGGAAGAAAGAAATCAGCAACAGGGAGTAAAGGTCCCCTAATGAGTACGGCCACTATGTGGGGGTGACTTTTCTCTCCATTCTGACTGGTAAAATTCCACACATTTCCACACAAATGCCACCTACTACTTAATTCATGGTCCTTCTATAAGAAAAAGGTTGTTCCTGCACCAAACTTCCCAATATTTTGACTACACATCTCTTTTTTGAACATTTTTGTGCCCCCGTATTAATGATAGATTCTTTAACATGCTATGTCGTCCACACAGTAGCTGTAGTAGTGTCTTGAATATAGAGAAATAAATGTTATTAAATGATTTAGAGTTTCCACTTTTCTACTTTCCTTTCCTGAATTTATTCTTCTAAAGGCTGAGAATTTTAAAACACGGAGTGAAACATGAGTTTGGGTCAGTTTAATTCAGTTCAATTCTGCAAACATTTATCAGTCTTCTCACCCTCTGTACATGCATCTTGACTGTCTTTACCCAGCGAAGCAGTGCATTCTGTGTTTTTTATCTGCATAAACACCCTTGGACTGAATGGAGTGAAGTGTTGACTGGCGGTGATGGCTTTGAGGACTCTGTGAAAGGGAGAAGTTCTAAAACATAATTTGATCAAGTCACAGATAAAACTTTCATAAGATTTTGGTATCCTTTTCAACAACTACATATCTGAAGAAAGAATAAAAAGGGTACAAAGGGAACTACATTAAGAAAAGGGTGCATGGAACCATTTATATCTGAATTATGTATTCGGGACTAAACAGTGATTGTCCAGATCCTGATTTTCTTATGTATCCCCTGAGAACTATGCAAAGTGACAAGGAGGGGCAATATAAGCTCAGATACATATACTTTCATTGAAACTGAGTGTCAGAAACATCCCACAATTAAAAAAAAAAAAAAAAAACCTTGGAAATGAGTGGAAGAAAACACCATGAATCAGCCCCATCAATGTGGAAAGTAAAGGCCAAGTAGCAAAGTAGGTGAGTAGGGCAGGGAGTAATGGGGAGTATCAGAATCTACAAATCCTTAGCTGACAATCATGCCTAGAAACAGAGGGCATAACCCTGAGGGATAGTTATGTATAGATCTGAGGAAACAGGGCAAGAAGTCATGCTGAACAAAGGTGAAGAGGAAAGGTGAGGCACTTGTACACAGAAGCCTCATGTGATGAAGCAACCTTCATCATTGTAGCAAAGGAAGGAGTCCCTGAATGGAGAATCTGGGCAAGTTACCCTCATCTTGCTAAATCTCTGGTACAGAAAAAAGGCAAATTGTTCAAATGTGAATCATAACTAATGACTAAATTGCTGGACCTATACAGAAATATAAAAAAAGGAACCCCTGAAAAGTCAAGCTTTTTATCACAAGAGAACTCACTAGGAAATTGTCTCTATTGAGAAAAATTCCAATACAACATGTCTTCAAGAATTACAACATGTCTTCAATAATTTTCAAAGTGATAGAACTAATTGTGAAAGAATACTACAAAGAGGAAATAAGTAAACTCAGACAAAATAATATGCCTGACCACAAGAAGGTGTGAAATAGGAACTGAGAGAAGTCTGGAAAGAAATTAAAGCAAAAGCTACTTACTCGATGAAGAATAAGTTACAAAGAGTTTTTAAAAATGAACAATACAGAAATCATTATAAAGGACCTAAAGACTAGAAATCAGAAAAGCAAAATAAACAAAAATAAAGAATGGAGTGAAAGACTTAAATAGGTCTAGAAGACTGACCAAGAAGATTCAGTATATTATAAGCAGAATCCCAAAGAAAAAAGTAAATTTCAGAATAGAAGATTAAAAATTAATTTAAAATGAACTTCCCAGAAATAAAAGACTTTAATCTACATATCGAAAAGGCATATATCTTGGAAAATGGACATAAAATAGTAAATTCCAAAAAATATCTTAGTAAAATTGTTAGACCTTTAAAATAAACAAAGAATCCTTCAAGTAACCAGTTCCTCTTCCCCAACCAAAAAAAAATCAGGTTGACATCAGTCTTGATAGCAACTTTTTATACCAGGAAATAATAAAAGAACACTTACAAGAAACTCAGAAATATAAAGATAAGCCAGGAGTTTTATAGCAACCAGTCTGTACTTTAAGTATAAGGGCTACAAGCAAAGAGTCTGAACATAAAGAAACTCAGGGATTATTGTTCCCATGGCTCTTTCTGGGGTTTCTACTAGAAGATGCGGTTCATATAATCAGGAAAATGTTGGAATAATCTTAGTGAAAAGCATTGAATATAGATTTACTGCAGAACTAAACTAGGATCAGAATGTGGGGCTAAAGGTGACAGGATAATACCTAAATGCAATATATGCTAATAATATGGAAATAACTAGCCAATAAGTGCGAAAAGGAAGAAAGTAGGAAGTATAAGTTTCTGATTATCTCTTAGGAGAAAAGGAATATCATATAAAGCAAATAAGTCAAATAGTAGAAGCTTAAGCTTGTCTAAGAGGATAAAGAATATTCTTGAAAAAATAGTAATATTGAATGGTGAAAAAGAGGTAGGAGACGGGAGAATAAAGTTTACAAGTTAATTTCATTGTATATAATAAGGAACAAAAGATACTGTCTAAAGAAAGAAGAGACTAAAGGTATTATATTATGATATTAGCATTATGAAAACTTCCTATGATCAGAAAGAGAATGGCAGACTACATACTAAACATAAAGTCATATGGCACACCAACACATCAGTTATGTTAATAAATGTAAATGAGCTTAATGAACCTTTTAAAAGAAAAATCCTTCAAACTGACTCTCAAAGCAAAACCCAACTCTATTCTGTATATAAGAGAAATTGCTAAAATAAAGTAATTCAGAATGATTGAAAATGAAATGATAGGCAAAGACATAGGTTAATGTGACCAAAACAATGTGATCCTTATATCGAAAAAACAGAATTCAGGAGGACAAAACTAAACCTACAATCAAAATAAAAATCTATAATATTTATGAAGCTTAGTTTGGCTTAGTTCAACCATTGTGGAAGACAGTGTGGTGATTCCTCAAGGATCTAGAACCAGAAATACCATTTGACCCAGCAACCTCATTACTGGGTACATACACAAGGGATTATAAATCATTCTACTATAAAGACACATACACACGTATGTTTATTGCAGCACTATTCACAATAGCAGAGACTTGGAACCAACCCAAATGCCCATCAATGATAGACTGGATAAAGACAATGTGGCACATATACACCATGGAATACTATGCAGCCATAAAAAAAGGATGAGTTCATGTCCTTTGCAGGGACATGGATGAAGCTGGAAACCATCATTCTCAGCAAACTAACACAGGAACAGAAAACCAAACACCACATGTTCTCACTCATAAGTGGGAGCTGAACAGTGAGAACACAGGGACACAGGGAGGGGAACATCACACACTAGGGCCTGTTGAGGGGTGGGGGGCCAGGGGAGGGATAGCATTAAGAGAAATACCTAATGTAGATGATGGGTCGATGGGTGCAGCAAACCACCATGGCATGTGTATACCTATATAACAAACCTGCACATTCTGCACATGTATCCCAGAACTTAGAGTATAATAAATCTATAATATCTGGGTACTACATAAAACAGAAATTTTCTTTAAAAGATACACGAAGAAACAGAAACACATTAATAAAAAGAGAAGGTTTTGTCAGTCCAAGGCAGATCAAGTGATTAAAAAAGGAAGGATAGAAAATATCAAACAAGGCCAGGCGCGGTGGCTCACGCTTGTAATCCCAGTACTTTGGGAGGCTGAGGTGAGTGGAACACGAGGTCAGGAGATTGAGACCATCCTGGCTAACACAGTGAAACCCCACCTCTACTGAAAATACAAAAAATTAGCCCGGTGTGGTGGCAGGCGCCCGTAGTCCCAGCTACTCGGGAGGCTGAGGCAGGAGAGTGGCGTGAACCCGGGAGGCGGAGCTTGCATTTATTCTTAAGTTATTTCATAGATTTTGTCATTGTTGCTGCTGTGATTTTTTTTTTCAATTTCTATTTTTAGCCTGTGGTTACCAAAGCTGAGAAAAAATATATAGCCTGCACTCATATATATATATGTGTGTGTATATATAACGTATGTGTGTGTATATATACATATATGTATGTGTATATATATATCCCTTGTGTCTTATCTATCCATCCATCCATCCCGGCTTTTATGTGCAATAATTTCTACCCCCAGATACTTACAGGGTTCCTGTCATATAGTTTATACTCAGTTAATATTTGTTGAATGAGTGAATGTCATACTGTTAGTAAAGGAAACGTCACCTGTTCTTGCCTCTTGCCAGAGATCCGCTTTGAGGGTAAAGAGCTTTGAGTTCACCTAGAAAATGAGAAGGAATCAACTTGCTGTGGTCAAACACAAGAGCCCAAGAGTCCAAGTTTTTGAGTTTGAGAGAATTGGGCTTGAGTCTTGATTCTACCATTTAAAAGTTATATGAACTTTAAATAATTGTTAAATGATTATTTATTACTTTTAGAGATAGGGTCTTGCCCTGTCACCCAGGCTGGAGGGCAGTGGTGCAACCATAGCTCACTTTAGCCTCAAACATGTGCACTCAAGTGATTCTCCTGCCTCAACCTCTTGTATAGCTGGGACTATAGGCAAAGGCCACTGTGCCCAGCTTATGTGAACATTTTAAGTAATTTCTCTAAATGTCAACTTCCTCACCGGTAAATTGAGATAATAAATAGTTTCTTCCTTTTACTGTATTGTGAAGGTTAAATAAAACAGGTAAAGAACTTTGGAAAGTATCCTGGACAGTAAGGTCTCAATAAATACTGATTCGTACTCAACAGAGGTTGGTGAATATTTTTCTTTGAAATTTAAAAGTTCCAAGATACGTACATGTATAAGCCATTGTTCTTCAATAATTATTTGCAGAATTCTGAGAGCCATTTAGATTTCTAATTGCAAGTCTCTATTTTAGTACAAAGGGCTCTAATATTTTCCTTTGGAGTTTCTCAAATTTTTGCATTGGATTTTAGTTCTCTATTCCCTATAACTATCAGGCAGAAGGTGGGGTGATGCAGCCAGGAGCCAAGGATCCCCTGCGGCCACCTGAAGCTTGGAGAGACAGGGAAGGATCCTCCCCTGGAGCCCTGGAGGCAGTGTGGCCCTACTGACAGCTTGATTTAGGACTTCACACCTCCAGAACTGAGAGAGAGTGCATTTCTGTGGTTTTAGGCCACGAAGTTTGTGACAATTTGTTGCAACAGCAGTGGCAGTACACATACCAGGTAAAGTAACACAGGTTCCAGAGATTTGGATGTGGACATATTTGCGAAGCCATTATCTAGCCTACCAGTCTTTATTCATTTTTGTTTGTTTGTTTGTTTTTGTTTGAGACAAACAAAACTCCAGACTGCTCTCTCTC
The DNA here is from genome assembly GCF_000001405.40 of Homo sapiens. Classification (NCBI taxonomy): domain Eukaryota; kingdom Metazoa; phylum Chordata; class Mammalia; order Primates; family Hominidae; genus Homo; species Homo sapiens. The sequence continues at coordinate 3,161,343 of NC_000017.11, forward strand.
CCAGTCTGGAGTGCAGTGACGTGATCTTGGCTCACTGTAAGCTCTGCCTCCCGGGTTCACGCCATTCTCCTGCCTCAGCCTCCGGAGTAGTTGGGACTACAGGCGACTGCACCACACCTGGCTAATTTTTTGTATTTTTTTTTTTTTTTTTTTTTTAGTGGAGACGGGGTTTCACCGTGTTAGCCGGGATGGTCTCGATCTCCTGACCTCGTGATCCGCCCGCCTTGGCCTCCCAAAGTGCTGGGATTACAGGCGTGAGCCACCGCGCCCGGCCTTTTCTCGTTATTTTTATCTCTTGTTGCTTTCCTGTGAAACTTTTGAGGAATTCTTAAGTTTTTACTCTACAAAACAGATGATCACTTCTGGAGGGTTCATATTAATATTATCTGCACCCTACATAGGCTTTTTAAATTTACATTTTTATGTTGCAATATTTTAAAGTAAATTGTAATTATTGTGGCATTACACCCCTAAATATTCAGCCTACATCTCTTTAAAAAAAAAACACCTTCTTCCACTTGCCCCAAATAGCACTTTCACACCAACTCAATTAATGATGATTTCTTATTATTATTCATTACTGGGCCATATTCAAATCTTTCCAGTTTCCCTGAAACTATCCTTTTTGTCTGCTTTGTTAAAATAGGAATCCAGTCCAGAACCTTGCATTGTATCTAGGAGCCGTGACCCAAGAATGTCCTAAATTCCCTCTAGAGTCACTGGAGACAGACCTGGCTATCATCCTGTGTGAAAGGAGCACGCTGAGGCTTAAGAGGCTGAGTGAGTTACCCCAAAGTCACACCCCTGATAAGTAGCAGAATCTGGATCTGATCATTACTCTTTTGATTCCAAATGTTATGCCCTGGTGTGGTGTGCTTTGCAAAGAAGAGTGGCCATGCACAGCTTATATTTGGACCCAAATAGCTTTTCCTTCTGGCCAGCAGGCCCATTAATCAGATGCTGTATCCGCTCTCTTAGTCCTTCCTCCCAAAAAGTGCAAGTGTCAAGATTTTTTTTTTTTTTTTGAGACAGAGTCTCACTCTGTCGCCCACGCTGGAGTGCAGTGGCACGATCTTGGCTCACTACAACCTCCGTCTCCTGGGTTCAAGCAATTCCCTGCCTCCGCCTCCCTAGTAGCTAGGATTGCAGGCGCCCACCACCACACCTGGCTAATTTCTGTATTTTTTGTAGAGACCGGGTTTCATCATCTTGGCCAGGCTGGTCTTAAACTCCTGACCTCGTGATCCACCCGCCTCGGCCTCCCAAAGTGCTGCAAGTGTCGAGATTTCATTTGGTGACTCCATAAACTGCCTCGGGAATCTCTTGTCTTTGGGATGAAAAGACTTTTAGACTTTTACAGTCCTTCCTCCCCAAAAGTGCAAGTTTCAAGATTTCATTATATTTTTGTTATCAAATCATTAGGTCTTTATTCCCTACTTGACTTTGACTCTTGGAGATGGAGAACATGTCTTAGGTACTTTCATATTCTCTCAGCACCATTTCTCTGTTGAACAGAGGCTCTCCTGGGACTTGTGTCCCACCCCAGCTGGGAGGCTTACCTTCCAGCCTGTGTCCACGACAGCCACCATCACAATGACCTGTTGCCTCTTCTGTCCTCTACATCATCGGAAATACACATTAAAAAGCTGCTTGAGAACTCGGAGGCTGTCCCCCTGTGGCGCGATGAACACGGCCAGGTTCCCCTTCCTCTGTGGCAGCAGAACTTTGCTGTACCCCAACTGCAGCAGGATAGCAGATGGGAGATTTCTGTTCATTAACCCCACGACCTCTGGAATAATCCTAGGTTCTCCAGCCCTGGGCTACAGGGGACTTGTCCTATTTATTTATTTCCCAGGTAGGCTCTGTGTGAGTTCCCTGGGGTGTCCCTTGGGAAATGGGAGCTTTGTCATTTCCCATGCCCTCTGTATCCCCTCAGGAGCAGTTTCTTGGAATGGGGAAGGATGTGGTCCAACAGTACTGGGATTTCTTGCATGAGAAGTTATTATCTGCCTGTTTCTTGGGTGGAACTAAAGAGCTAACCAATCTATCAAAAAAAATCTCCTTTCATATTTGCAATGATACTCTTAAGTCGCAAAAGGCCTCTGCTAAAATTAAAATGTGTTGCCTGGAGGGAATCATCTCTCGAGACCATAGAGAAATTGTGAAGCCATGGCCATTCTCATTTCAGTGTGGGTTTTTTCTTGGAGTCTTTATGAGAAGCTCATTCTAAACTTGGTCAGGAAATGGGGAGATGCCAAGAGAAAGACACAGTGCTTCGTGAGCCTCCAGCAAGAAGTAGTTTGGGAACAAGGGGCAGCAGATGTTAGAAAACTGCGGGCTGTGGACATACCTCCAGCTCCACCTGCAGATCCCCAGTGAACATGAGCTCCAGGGTGCACAGCCATTGCCTTCCCCAGAGTGGGGATCCAGCACTGGTCCTCTGGGTGCAGCTGCTGCAATTGTGATTAGAGCTCAGATCCAGAACCATGTCCATCCCACCAGCATCTCTGTGGCCACAAACTTGATTGCTCTTCCTCCAGAAAAAGACTGGAAAAGAAAAGCTCAATTTTAGAATATACTTACAGTTGTCTTAGAATCACTAACCCGGCCGGGCACGGTGGCTCACGCCTGTAATCCCAGCACTCTGGGAGGCTGAGGCAGGCAGATCACAAGGTCAGGAGTTCAAGACCAGCCTGGCCAACATGGTGAAACCTCATCTCTTCTAAAAATACAAAAATTAGCCGGGCATGGTGGCGGGCGCCTGTAATCCCAGCTACTTGGGAGGCTGAGGCAGGAGAACTGCTTGAACCCGGGAGGTGGAAGAGATTGCAGTGAGCTGAGATCACGCCATTGCACTCCAGCCTGGGTAACAGAGCGAGACTCCTTTTAAAAAAAAAAGACCTAGATTAATTCTCCCTGCCCCCTTTCGGTGTGGTTATGTTGCTCATTTGAAAGACAGTGGGAGTGGGAGGGGAATGTGTTATAAAATCATAAAACATACCATATAGGCAGATAGATTGAGCTCTAGGTATAGATGTTGATACAGCTATACAAACAGATATGTATATAAAATCAAGTATAGAAGAAAACCAAAAAATAATACAACTAGAAACAAATAAATCTAACTGTATTTCAAATTAATAACAAACCACACTGAAGAAAAGGAAGGAGATCTAATCCAAGCAACTCTTGAACATAGCAATTTGACTATATATGTTCAGGATAAAGAAAACTAACTTTAAAAAATATATTCTCTTGTTATTTTCTTTTTACAGTAGTATGGAAATACTTTATGTATATTCTAAGATTTAGCAAATAAATAAATATAATATGGACAACATAATAAGAGCCAGGTTGCATAATGTTGAAGAAGGGAGTTACAAATACGGAAAGGGTTGGCCAGGCATGGTGGCTCACGCCTGTCATCCCAGCACTTTGGGAGGCTGAGGCGGTAGACCATTTGACGTCAGGAGTTCTAGACCAGCCTGACCAATACGGTGAAACCCCGTCTCTACTAAAAATACAAAAATTAGCCAGGCATGGTGGCAGGCATCTGTAATCCCAGCTACTTGGGAGGCTGAGGCAGGAGAATCACTTGAACCCGGGAGATGGAGGCTGCAGTGAGCCGAGATCGTGCCACTGTACTCCAGCCTGGGTGACAGAGTGAGACTCCATCTCAAAACAAACAAACAAATACAGAAAGGGGAAGGGCTAGAATGAACCCTGAGATGTTGCACTGGAATTGAAAGTATGGTTATAAGCGCATAGTTCTGGGGAGAGAGAGGAGATGGAGGTGTGTGTATTTGTGTATATGCGTATGTCTTGGCTCTGTCCATTGAAAGGACCTCGAAGCAATGACAACTCAATAGCAATGAGCACATCTATTAATTACCCAGACCTCAGCTTTGAAATAGCATTCTCTTCTAAGAGAAATAAAGACTTTTTGGAGAAACGTATAATTCCACTTCTGGACAGAGAAAATAAAAGATGAGTCTGGAACATTTGTTTTGCCAGAAAGGAGGAAAGTGTTCCAAAATTGCTGAAAGCATGCCAAAAGACACAGAAGCCAACTCGAAGGGTTCCCAGTGACAAAGTGGGAAAATCAAGCAACAATATAAAGATAGGAATGAATTATAACTCATAGATAAAATCAAAATAAGTTTATCATACTGCTGCAAATGGATTAATAAATGAATGAATAAATGAACAAACAGATGAATAAACAAATAATAAAAAAAATCTTCCTTGGATATAATTTCAACTAATGTATAAGGCATGATTGAATCAGAAAAAAAATCATATTTAGCAGACACAATAACAGTTGTCCCAGGATATTTATTCATTACAAAGAAAAAATTGTATCTCTTCAGTAGACAGACTAGTATATATCACCTTTCACAAGTGGTCAACAACAGCATCACCAATATTGGGATAAATTATGTGCCTTCTCATAGACCGCACGCAGAAGGACATAGCATTTCTGTCATGCTCCTGCCCACAGCTTCATAGCCTGAATCTACGCATGAGAAAATATCAGACAAAATTCAAACTAGGCATTGATGCAGTGATGTCAGCAAAATGGCAACCAGGAAGTCCCAAACATTTAACAACTTCTCAGGGACAAAAATAGCTCTGGGAGAGTGCCACAGTACATTTAAGAAGGTTCAGCAGCACAGTGTAGCACAGAAACAGAGTGGCTGCAGCATAGAAAAACACAGGCATACCTGGTGAGGATGGTGAAACCTTGTCTCCACTAAAAACACAAAAAGTAGCCGGGAGCGGTGGCAGGCGCCTATAATCCCAGCTGTTAGGGATGCTGAGGCAGGAGAATAGTTTGAACCCTGGAGGCAGAGGTTGCAGTGAGCTGAGATCACACCACTGCTCTCCAGCCTGGGTGACAGAGCAAGACTCCATCTCAAACAAAACAAAAACCAAAACACAAAAACAGAATGGCGAATCCTTTCCAGAAGGTTTTCAGTTTACTTTGCCCAGGTACATCAGTGGAATCACTGTCTATGGCAGCCACAGCCTTACAAAACGTGTTTCTTATATAATAGACTTGAAAATAGACATGACTTGGCCAGGTGCGGTGGTTTGTGCCTGTAATCCCAGCACTTTGGGAGGCCGAGGCAGGCAGATCACCTGAGGTCGGGAGTTCGAGACCAGCCTGACCAACTTGGAGAGACCCCCATCTCCACTGAAAATGCAAAGTTAGCCGGGTGTGGTGTTGCATGCCTGTGGTCCCAGCTACTAGGGAGGCTGAGGCAGAAGAATCACTTGACCCCAGGAGGCGGAGGTTGTGGTGAGCTGAGATCACACCATTGCACTCCAGCCTGGGCAACAAGAGTGAAACTCTTGCTTCAAAGGGGGTACAATTGCTTGGGTTCTGCCCCGCTCTGTCAGGTGGAGTCAGCATTGGCAAAGACTGTGGAGGTCCTCAGTGGGGAAAGGTGTCCAAAGTGGAGAGAGCTCCTGAGACTTAAAAAAAAAAAAAAAAGGAGACATGACTCCCCGATCTACGAGCTGCAGAATGGACGTTGTGTTTGAAAACAACATTAATCTCCTTGTGTGTCTCCATCAGAGTCCTTGAGTGAACAGGTGCATTGTCAATGAGCAGTGATATTTTGAAAGGAATCTTTTTTTTCTGAGCAGCAGGTCTCAACAGTGGCTTACAATATTCGGTAAACCATGCTGTAAACAGATGTGCAGTCATCCAGAATTTTGTTATTCCACTGATAGAGCACAGGCAGAATACATTTAGTATAATCGTTAAGGGCTGTAGGATTTTTGAAATGGTAAAAGAGCATTAGCTTTAACTTCAAGTAACCAGCTGCATTCGATCCTAACAAGAGTCAGTCTGTTCTTTGAACCTGTGAAGCCAGGTCTTGATTTCTCCTCTCTCGCTCAAAAAGTTCTAGATGGCATCTTCTCACACTTGTGTTACGGAGATGGTCCCTTCCTTTTCCCTCCTCTCTCTCTCTCTTTCCCTTCCTTCCTCTATTTCTCTCTTTCTCTTTCTGATGGAGTCTTGCTCTGTCACCCAGGCTGGAGTGCAGTGGCACAATCTCGGCTCACTGCAGCCTCTGCCTCCCAGGTTCAAGCGATTCTCATGTCTCAGCCTCCCAAGTAGCTGGGACTACAGGCATCCGCCACCACACCCAGCTAATTTCTGTATTTTTAGTAGAGACAGGGTTTCACCATATCGGAGATGGCTTATTTTCTTAAACCTTATGAATCAACCTCTGCTAGCTTCCAACTTTTCTTGTGTAGCTTCCTCCCCTCTCTCAGTTTTCATAGAATTGAAGAGAGTCAGGGTATTGCTCTGGATTAGGCTTTGGCTAAAGGGAATGTTTTGGCTGGTTTGATCTTATCCAGACCACTCAACCCCTCTCCACGTCAGTAATAAGACGGTTTCACTTCCTTATCTTTCATAAGTTCACTGGGGTAGCACTTTCACTTTCTTCAAGAACCTTTTCTTTGCATTCACAACTTGGCTGTTTGACGCAAGGCTTAGCTTCCAGTCTATCCCTGCTTTAGACACGCCTTCCTCACTAAGCTTAATAATCTCTCGATTTTGGTTTAAAGTGAGAAAGGTGGGTACAGTGGTGCACACCTGTAATCCCAGCTATTTGTGAGGCTGAGGCAAGAGGGTTTCTCAAGCTCAAGAGTTTGAGACCAGCCTGGGCAATATAGTGAGACCCTGTCTCAAAAATAATAATAAAATAAAGTGAAAGGCATGCAACTCTTCCTTCACTTCAACACTTAAAGGCCATTGTAGGGTTATTGACTGACCTAATTTCAATATTGTTGTGTCTCAGGGAATAGAGAGACCCAAGGAGAGGGACAGAGGCAATGGAATTGCTGGTTGGTGGGGCAGTCAGAACACATACAACATTTATCAGTTAAGTTCACCATCTTACATGGGTGCAGTTCGTGGAGCCAAAAACCAATTACAAGGGTAACATCTAAGGTAAATGATCATAAATCACCATAACAGATATAATAACAAAAAAGTTTTAAATATTGAGAGAATTAATTTGACACAGAGACCTGAAGTGAGCACATGTTGTTGGAAAAATGGCACCAATAGACTTGCTCAAGGCAGGGTTGCCATAAACCTTCAATTTGTAAATTTGAAATATCTTCATACAATAAAATGAGGCATACCTGTATATGAACATTTTTCTGGCATTATTCCATCCCCCAGGCTGGAAAAGCAGGTGCCAAGAGGGATCCTGCCAGCAGCAACTTCCCCTCATGAGGGGAAAAGAAGAGTAGGAGATCCTTCAGGACCTCTCTCCACTTTGGACACCTTTCCCCACTGAGGACCTCCACAGTCTTTGCCAATGCTGACTCCACCTGACACAGCCGGGCAGAGCCCAAGCAATTGCACCCCCATCTCTGGAGACAAAGCAGGAACCGCTGCTACATGCCAATATCCCTGATGAACATAGATACAAAATCCCTGAAGAAATACTAGCAAACCCAATTTAATGGCCCATACACCACAATCCAGTGGGATGTATCCCTAGGGTACAAGAATGATTGACAGATGCAAATCAATCAATGTGATACACCACATTAAGAGAACAAAATAAAAATGTGTTAACAGAATGAATTTTAAAATGAAAGAAATAAATGATCACAGAGACACAAGTGTCTCAACAGAAGTAGAAAAAAACATTTAACAAAATTGAACATTCTTTCTTGATAAAAACTCTCAACAAAATAGCTATAGAGGATGCAGAGGAAGATGGCTCAATAGAAACCTACACTGATCATCCTCCTTGTAAGAACACCAAATTTACAACTATCTACACACAAAAACCACCTTCATGAGATCCAAAATCAGGCAAGCAATCACAGCACCTGTTTTGAACTTCGTATTGCTGAAAGAGGCACTGAAAAGTGTAGGAAAGACAGTCTGGAATTACAGACGTCGCCCTTCTCCCATCCCCCAGCAGTGGCTACATGGTGCAGAGAGAGACTGAGTGCTTGGGGGAGAGAGAATGCAGTGAGTGTGGGACTTTGTATTGAAAGTCAGTGCTGCCAACCGTGGGTAAAACTCAGCTAATGTCCATGAAGGGCGCATTTAGACAAACTCTAGCCAGAGGAAAATTGCCCATCCCAGCAGCTGGGTCAGAACCCAAGTTTCAGCAAGGCTCACCACCACAGGCTAAAGTACTCTGGGGTCCTGCAAAAACTTGAAATGCAGTCTAGGCCACAAGGACTGAAACTGCTAGGTGAGTCCTGGTGCTGTGCTGGGCTCAGAGATAGTGGACTTGGAGGGGAGGGCACGTGACCTAGTGAGACACCAGATGGGGCAGCTAAAGGAGTGCTTGTGCCACCCCTCACCAACCCGAGGCAGCATAGCTTGCAGCTTTGAAAGAGGCCCTTCTGCTTGAGAGTGAATAAGAGGACTTTGTCTTGCAACTTGGATACCAGCTCAGCCACAGTGCCCAGGGCACTGGGCAGTTGCAAGGCCCCCATTTCAGGCCCAAATTCCCAGACATTTCTGGACACACCCTGGGCCAGAAGGGAACCTGCTGCCTTGAAGGGAAGAACTCAGTCCTGGCAAGATTTATCACCTGCTGACTAAAGAGCCCTTGGGCCCCAAATAATCAGCAGCAGTAACCAAGTAGTACACACCATCAGCCTTGGGTGAGACTCAGATATTCTGGCTTCAGGTTAGACCCAGTACACTCACAGCTGTACTGTCTATGAAAAGAGATGCCTTCTGGTTAAGAAAAGCAGAGGGAAGCACAAAGGGGACTTTGTCTTGCAGCTTAGGTACCAGCTCAGCCACAGTCGGGTAGAGCACCAAGCAGGCTGTTGGAGTCCTTGATTCCAGTTCTTGGCTCTTGGATGGCATTTCTGGGCATACCCTGGACCCAAAGGGAGCCTTTTGCCCTGAAGGGTGAGTCCCAGGCCTGGCAGCATTCACCATGAGGCTGATTGAAGAGCCCTGGGGCCTTAAGCGAACACCGGCAGTAGCCTGCTGACATAGTTTGGATATTTATCCCTGCCCAAATCTCATGTTGAATTGTAATCTCCAGTGTTGGAGATAGGGCCTGGTGGGAGGTGCTTGGGTCAGGAAGGCAGATTCCTTACGGTTTGGTGCACGCCTCGTGATCATGAGCGAGTTCTTGAGAGATCTAGTTGTTTACGTGTGTAGCACCTCCCATAACAACTGTCTTTCTCTCCCACTTTTGCCATGTGAAGTGTCTGCACCCTTCTGCCAGAGGAAAAGTTCCCTGAGGCCTTCCCGGAAGCAGATGCTGATGTACAGCCTGCAGAACTGTAAGCCTATTAAACCTCTTTTCTTATAAATTACCCAGTCTTGGATATTTCTTTATAGCAATGCAAGAGCAGCCTAACATGGAAAATTGGTATTGAGAAGAGGGGAATTTCTATAAAGATACCTGAAAATGGCTACATCTGAAAATGTGGAAGTGACTTTAGAACTGGGTAATGGGCAGAGGATGGAAGAGTTTGAAGGGCTCAGAAGAAGACAGAAAAATGTGGAAAAGTTTCGAACTTCTTAAAGACTGGCTAAATCGTTGTAACCAAAATACTGATGGTAATATGGACAGTGAAGTCCAGGCTGATGAGGATTCAGATGTAAATGAGGAACTTACTAGAAACTGGAGCAAAGGTCACCCAGTTTATGCCTTAGCAAAGAGCTGGGGTGCATTGTGTTCATGCTCTAGGGATCTGTGGAAGGTCGAACTTGAGAATGATGACTTAAGATATTTGGCAGAAGAAATTTCTAAGCAGCAAAACATTGAAGAAATTGCCTGGCAGCTTCTAACAGCCCACACTCAGATGCAGGAGCAAAGAAATAACTTAAGGTTGGAATTTATATTTAAACAGGAAGCAGAATGTAAAAGTTTGAAAAATGTGGAGCCTGGCTATGTGGCAAAGAAAGAAAGAACTTTTTATGGAGAGGAATTCAAGCAGGCTGTAGAGCAACCACTTGCTAGAGATACTTGCATAACTAAAGGGAAGGCAAGTGCTACTATCCAAGACAATGTGAAAAAGTCCTTGAAAGCATTTCAGAGACCTTCATGGCAGCCCCTCCCATCATGGATCCAGAGGCCTAGGAGGGAAGAATGGTTTCTTGGGCCAGGCTCAGGGTTCTGCTGCCCTGTGTAGCCTTGGGACACTGTTCCCATATCCCAGCCACTCCAGCTCCAGCTGTGATTCAAAGGAGCCCAGGTACAGCTCATGCTGCCACTTTGGAGAATGTAAGCCATAAGTCTTAGTGGCTTCCATGTGGTGTTAAGCTTGCAGGGGCACAGCAAGAGTGAAGGAGGCTTGGCAGCCTTCACCTAGATGCCAGAGGATGTATGGGAAAGCCTGACATCCAGGCAGAAGTCTGCTGCAGAGGCAGAGCCCTCACAGGGCAGTAAGGAGAGGAAATGGGGGATTGGAGGACCCATACAAAGTGTGCCCACTGGGGCACAGCTTAATGGAGCTGTGGAAAAAGGGCCACCACCCTGCAGACCCTAGAATGGTAGATCCACTGGCAGCTTGCACCCTATACCTGGAAAAGCCACAGGTACTCAACTCCAGGCCATGAGAGAAGCCACAGGGGCTGAACCCTGGAAAGCCACAGTGGTAGAGCTGCCCAAAGCCTTGGGAGGCCATTCCTCATATCAGTGTGCCCAGGATGTAGGACACGGAGTCAAAGATTATTTTGGAGCTTTGAGATTTAATGACTGCCCTGCTGGGTTTCAAGCTTGAGTGGAACCTACAGCTCCTTTCTTTTGGCCAATTTCTCCCTTTTGCAATGAGAATGTTTAACCAATGCCTATAGCCCCATTGTATCTTGGAAGTCCATAACTTGTTTTTGATTTTATAAACTCAGGTGGAAGGGATTTGCCTTGTCTTGGATGAGAAATTGAACTTTTGGAACAAGTTAAGACTTTGGGGGACTGTTGAGAAAGCATGATTGTGTTTTGCAATGTGAGAAGTACATGAGATTTGTGGGGGACCAGAAATGGTATTATATAGTTTGGATATTTGTCCTTGCCCAAATCTCATGTTGAATTATAATTTCCAGTGTTGCAGATGGGGCCTGATGGGAGGTGTTTGGGTCATGGGTGGAGATTCTCCATAGCTTGGTGCTTTCTTGTGATAATAAGTGAGTTCTTGCAAAATATGATTAAGTGTGAAGCACGCCCCTTCCCCACCTCTCTCTCTATTGCTCCCATTCTCACCATGTAAAGTGCCTCAAACTTCCACCATGAGTAAAAGCTATCTGAGGCCTCCCCAGAGGCAGATGCCAGTGTTATGCTTCCTGTATAGGCTGCAGAACCATGAGCCAATTAAACCTCTTTTCTTTTAAATTATCCAATCTCAGGTATTTGTTTATAGAAATGCAAGAACAGCCTAATACACCTGTCAGTATTTCTTATGGGCCTGTGGTGGTGGTGGACATGGGGAGAGACTCCTCTGTCTGAGGAAAGGTGGGGGAAGAGTGGGAAGGCCTTTTTCTTGTGGTTTGGGTGTCATCTTCAGATGCAGTAAATTGAGCACCAGGTAGATTTCTAAGGCTTCCAACTATAGGCCCTGGCTCCCAGATGGCATCTCTGGACTCACCCAGGGCCTGGGTGACTTGGCAGTCCAAAGTGAAGAAGACAAGCCTGGTTGTCTTTACCACCTGCTGACTGTAGAGCCCTAGGGCCTTGAGCAAACACAAGTGGTAGCCAAGGAGTGGTAACAGTGGGTCTTGGATGATACCCAGTGCTGTGCTGTCTTCAGGTCTGACCCAGCACAGCCCTAGTGGTGGTGGCCACAGGAGTACTTGTGTTACCCCTCCCCCAGGAAGCTCAGGAAGCTTCCAGGAAGCTCAGCACAGAGAAGGGGAGAGAGAGATTCCATTTGTTTTGGAAAAAGTAAGGGAAGAGATCAAAAGTTTCTGCCTGGTACTCCAGATAATCCTTCTGGACCTTATCCAAGACCACCAAGGAGGTAGGTACCTCTACAAGTTGGCAAAAACCACAGCATTACTGAGCTTGAGGTGCACCCTAATGCAGATATGGCTGCAGTGACAAAAAAAAATGTAGATCACAACACCCAAGTCCCTTCAAATACCTAGAAAGCATTTCCAAGAGGACAGGTACAAACAAGTCCAGACTGGCAAGACTACAATAAATATCTAACCCTTCAATCCTCAGCCACTGAAAAACTTCCACAAGCATCAAGACAATCCAGGAAAACACGGCCTCACCAAATGAACTACATAAGGTAAGAGGAACCACTCCTGGAGAAACAGAGATATGTGAACTTTCAGAGAGAGAATTCAAAATAGTTGTTTTGAGGAAACTCAAAGAAATTCAAGATAACACTGAGAAGGAACTCAGAATACTATCAGATAAATTTAACAAAGAAATTCAAATGGATAAAAAGAATCAAGTAGCAATTCTGAAGCTGAAAAATGCAATTGACCTGCAAAAGAATACAGCAGAGTCTCTTAATAGAAAAAATGATCAAGCAGGAGAAAGAAATAGTAAGCTGGAAGACAGGGTATTTGAAAATACACAAAGGAGGCAAAAAAAAAAAAAGAATAAAAAAGAATGAAGCATACCCACAGGATCTAGAAAATAGTCTCAAAAAGGCAAATCTAAGAGTGATTGGCCTTAAAGAGGAGGTAAAGAGATAATGATAGAAAGTTTATTCAAAGGGATAATAGCAGAGAATATCCTAAACCTAGAGAAAGATATCAATATACAAGAAGGTTGTAGAAAAGCAAGCAGATTTAACCCAAAAAAGACTACCTCAAGTTATTTAATAATCAAACTTCCAAAGATCAAAGATAAAGAAAGGATCCCAAAAGGAGCAAGAGAAAAGAAAAAAATAACATACAATGAAGCTCCAATATATCTGGCTGCAGACTTTTCAGTGGAGAAAAGGGTAGGAGAGAGTAGCATGATATATTTAAAGCACTGAAGGAAAAAACAAAGTTTACCCTAGAAGAGTGTATCTGGTGGAAATATCCTTCAAATACTAAGGAGAAGTAAAAACCTTCCCAGAGAAACAGCTTGCTGAGGGATTTCATTAACACTAGACCTGTTCTACAAGAAATCCTAAAGGATGGTCTCCGATCTGAAAGACAAAGATGTTAACGAGCAATAAGAAATCAGCTGAAGGCACAAAACTCAGTGCTAATGGTAAGTACATAGAATATTAATTGTGGTGTGTAAATTCTTCTGATCTTAATTAGAAAGACTTAAAGAAGAACCAATCAAAAATAATTACCAAAACAACTTTTTAAGACACAGATAGTACAATAAGATATAAATAGAAACATCAAAAAATTAGAGAGGTGGAGGGATGAAGTTAAAGTGTAAAGTTTTTATTCATTTTCTTTTTGCTTGTTTGTTTATGCAATCATGTTAAGTTGCCATCAGTTTAAAATAATAGGTTATAACACATTATTTGCAAACCTCATGATAACCTCAAATCCAAAAACATACAATGGATACACAAAAAAATAAAAAGCAAGAAATTAAAACATACTATCAGAGGAAATCACCTTCACTAAAATAAAAAAAAGGAAGGAGGGCCAGGCGCAGTGGCTCATGCCTGTAATCCCAGCACTTTGGGAGGCCGAGGTGGGTGGATCACGAGGTCAGGAGATCGAGACCATCCTGGCCAACATGGTGAAACTCCATCTCTACTAAAAATACAAAAATTAGCCAGGCATGGTGGCGGGCACCTGTAATCCCAGCTACTTGGGAGGCTGAGGCAGGAGAATCACTTGAACCTGGGAAACAGAGATTGCAGTGAGCCGAGATCGTGCCACTGCACTCTAGCCTGGCGACAGAGCAAGACTCCATCTCAAAAAAAAAAAAAAAAAAAAAAAAGGAAAAGATAGGAAGGAAAGTAAGACCACACAACAACTATAAAACAAATAATAAAATGGCAGTGGTAAGTCCTTACTCATCAATAATAACACTGAATGTAAATGGACTAAACTATCCAATCAAAAACATAGAGTGGCTGACTGAAAAAAAGCAGGACCCAGTGATCTGTTGCCTACAAGAAACACGCTTCATCTATAAAGGTACACAGAGACTGAAAATAAAGGGGTGGAAAAAGAGTAGGAGTGGGTATATTTATATTAGACGAAATAAATTTCAAGCAAAAACTATAAAAAGAGACAAAGAAGGTCATTATATAATGATAAAGGGATCAATTCAGCAAAAGGATATAACAATTTTAAATATGTATGCACCCAACATTGGAGCACCTAGATATATAAAGCAACATTATTAGAGCTAAAGAGAGAGATAAACCCCAATGCAATAATACTGGAGACTTCAACAGCCCACTAGCATTGGACAGATCTTCCAGAAAGAAAGTCAACAAAGAAACTTCAGACTTAATCTGCACTATAGACCTACATGGATCTAATTGATATTTATAGAACATTTGCTCCAATGGCTGCTGAATTCACATTCCTCTCCTTAGCACATGAATCATTCTCAAGGATAAACCATATGTTAGGTCACAAAACAAGTCTTAACACATTCAAAAAAACTCAAATAATATCAAGTATCTTCTCTGACCACAATGGAATAAAACTAGAAATCAATAATGAGAGAAATTTTTGGAAAATATACAAATATATGGAAATTAATATGCTCCTGAATGTCCAGTGAGCCCCAACTGGTTAGTACTAAAAAATGCCCAGGCTACAGCATCACAAGGTAAAATGGGAACCCAATCCAAAGTGGGGTGGGTCGCTTTACTGTGGGGGGCTCCCTATCACTGAAAGCCCTAAACAGGCAAAACAGCCTCTACCAGCACTTTGGGAGGCTGAGGTGGACAGACACCTGAGGTCAGGAGTTGGAGACCAGCCTGGCCAACATAGTGAAACCCCACCTCTACTAAAAAATACAAAAATTAGCCAAGCATGATGGCGGGTGCCTGTAGTCCCAGCTACATGGGAGGCTGAGGCAGGAGAATCCCTTGAACCTGGGAGGCGGAGGCTGCAGTGAGCCGAGATGGCACCACTGCATTCCTGCCTGGGCAACAAGAGTGAGACTCCATCTCAAAACACAACAAAACAAAAAAAAACAAGAAAAATGAACTCGATTGCCTTCCACAGCACCCCTAATTCCAATGCGCATCCTTCTAGCAAAGGGGAGAAGAAGAGGAGTCAGAAGTAAGGGAAAACAGGGGGAGGAGCCAACAAGGCCGAATAGGAACAGCTCCGGTCTACAGCTCCCAGCGTGAGCGACGCAGAAGACGGGTGATTTCTGCATTTCCATCTGAGGTACCGGGTTCATCTCACTAGGGAGTGCCAGACAGTGGGCGCAGGCCAGTGGGTGCGCGCACCGTGCGCAAGCCGAAGCAGGGCGAGGCATTGCCTCACCTGGTAAGCGCAAGGGGTCAGGGAGTTCCCTTTCCGAGTCAAAGAAAGGGGTGACGGACGCACCTGGAAAATCGGGTCACTCCCACCTGAATATTGCGCTTTTCAGACCAGCTTAAAAACCGGCGCACCACGAGACTATATCCCACACCTGGCTCGGAGGGTCCTACGCCCACGGAGTCTCGCTGATGGCTAGCACAGCAGTCTGAGATCAAACTGCAAGGCGGCTGCGAGGCTGGGGGAGGGGCGCCCACCATTGCCCAGGCTTGCTTAGGTAAACAAAGCAGCCGGGAAGCTCCAACTGGGTGGAGCCCACCACAGCTCAAGGAGGCCTGCCTGCAACTGTAGGCTCCACCTCTGGGGGCAGGGCACAGACAAACAAAGAGACAGCAGTAACCTCTGCAGACTTAAATGTCCCTGTCTGACAGCTTTGAAGAGAGCAGTGGTTCTCCCAGCACGCAGCTGGAGATCTGAGAACCGGCAGACTGCCTCCTCAAGTGGGTCCCTGACCCCTGACCCCCGAGCAGCCTAACTGGGAGGCACCCCCCAGCAGGGGCACACTGACACCTCACAAGGCAGGGTACTCCAACAGACCTGCAGCTCAGGGTCCTGTCTGTTAGAAGGAAAACTAACAAACAGAAAGGACATCTACACCAAAAACCCATCTGTACATCACCATCATCAAAGACCAAAAGTAGATAAAACCACAAAGATGGGGAAAAAACAGAACAGAAAAACTGGAAACTCTAAAACGCAGAGCACCTCTCCTCCTCCAAAGGAATGCAGTTCCTCACCAGCAACGGAACAAAGCTGGATGGAGAATGACTTTGACGAGCTGAGAGAAGAAGGCTTCAGATGATCAAATTACTCTGAGCTACGGGAGGACTTTCAAACCAAAGGCAAAGAAGTTGAAAACTTTGAAAAAAATTTAGAAGAATATATAACTAGAATAACCAATACAGAGAAGTGCTTAAAGGAGCTGATGGAGCTGAAAACCAAGGCTCGAGAACTACGTGAAGAATGCAGAAGCCTCAGGAGCCGATGCGATCAACTGGAAGAAAGGGTATCAGCGATGGAAGATGAAATGAATGAAATGAAGCCAGAAGGGAAGTTTAGAGAAAAAAGAATAAAAAGAAATGAGCAAAGCCTCCAAGAAATATGGGACTATGTGAAAAGACCAAATTTACGTCTGATTGGTGTACCTGAAAGTGATGGGGAGAATGGAACCAAGTTGGAAAACACTCTGCAGGATATTATCCAGGAGAACTTCCCCAATCTAGCAAGGCAGGCCAACGTTCAGATTCAGGAAATACAGAGAACACCACAAAGATACTCCTTGAGAAGAGCAACTCCAAGACACGTAATTGTCAGATTCACCAAAGTTGAAATGAAGGAAAAAATGTTAAGGGCAGCCAGAGAGAAAGGTCGGGTTACCCCTCAAAGGGAAGCCCATCAGACTAACAGCTGATCTCTCGGCAGAAACCCTACAAGCCAGAAGACAGTGGGGGCCAATATTCAACATTCTTAAAGACAAGAATTTTCAACCCAGAATTTCATATCCAGCCAAACTAAGCTTCATAAGTGAAGGAGAAAAAAAATCCTTTACAGACAAGCAAATGCTGAGAGATTTTGTCACCACCAGGCCTGCACTAAAAGAGCTCCTGAAGGAAGCGCTAAACATGGAAAGGAACAACTGGTACCAGCTGCTGCAAAATCATGCCAAAATGTAAAGACCATGGAGAATAGGAAGAAACTGCATCAACTAACAAGCAAAATCACCAGCTAACATCATAATGACAGGATCAAATTCACACATAACAATATTAACTTTAAATGGACTAAATTCTCCAATTAAAAGACACAGACAGTCAAATTGGATAAAGAGTCAAGACCCATCAGTGTGCTGTATTCAGGAAACCCATCTCACGTGCAGAGACACATATAGGCTCAAAATAAAAGGATGGAGGAAGATCTACCAAGCAAATGGAAAACAAAAAAAGGCAGGGGTTGCAATCCTAGTCTCTGATAAAGCAGACTTTAAACCAACAAAGATCAAAAGAGACAAAGAAGGCCATTACATAATGGTAAAGGGATCAATTCAACAAGAAGAGCTAACTATCCTAAATATATATGCACCCAATACAGGAGCACCCAGATTCATAAAGCAAGTCCTGAGTGACCTACAAAGAGACTTAGACTCCCACCCATTAATAATGGGAGACTTTAACACCCCACTGTCAACATTAGACAGATCAATGAGACAGAAAGTCAACAAGGATACCCAGGAATTGAACTCAGCTCTGCACCAAGCAGACCTAATAGACATCTACAGAACTCTCCACCCCAAATCAACAGAATTTACATTTTTTTCAGCACCACACCACACCTATTCCAAAATTGACCACATACTTGGAAGTAAAGCTCTCCTCAGCAAACGTAAAAGAACAGAAATTATAACAAACTATCTCTCAGACCACAGTGCAATCAAACTAGAACTCAGGATTAAGAATCTCACTCAAAGCCGCTCAACTACATGGAAACTGAACAACCTGCTCCTGAATGACTACTGGGTACATAAGGAAATGAAGGCAGAAATAAAGATGTTCTTTGAAACCAACGAGAACAAAGACACAACATACCAGAATCTCTGGGACGCATTCAAAGCAGTGTGTAGAGGGAAATTTATAGCACTAAATGCCCACAAGAGAAAGCAGGAAAGATCCAAAATTGACACCCTAACATCACAATTAAAAGAACTAGAAAAGCAAGAGCAAACACATTCAAAAGCTAGCAGAAGGCAAGAAATAACTAAAATCAGAGCAGAACTGAAGGAAATAGAGACACAAAAAACCATTCAAAAAATCAATGAATCCAGGAGCTGGTTTTTTGAAAGGATCAACAAAATTGATAGACCGCTAGCAAGACTAATAAAGAAAAAAAGAGAGAAGAATCAAATAGACACAATAAAAAATGATAAAGGGGATATCACCACCGATCCCACAGAAATACAAACTACCATCAGAGAATACTACAAACACCTCTACGCAAATAAACTAGAAAATCTACAAGAAATGGATAAATTCCTCGACACATACGCTCTCCCAAGACTAAACCAGGAAGAAGTTGAATCTCTGAATAGACCAATAACAGGAGCTGAAATTGTGGCAATAATCAATAGCTTACCAACCAAAAAGAGTCCAGGACCAGATGGATTCACAGCCAAATTCTACCAGAGGTACAGGGAGGAACTGGTACCATTCCTTCTGAAACTATTCCAATCAATAGAAAAAGAGGGCATCCTCCCTAACTCATTTTATGAGGCCAGCATCATTCTGATACCAAAGCTGGGCAGAGACACAACCAAAAAAGAGAATTTTAGACCAATATCCTTGATGAACATTGATGCAAAAATCCTCAATAAAATACTGGCAAACCGAATCCAGCAGCACATCAAAAAGCTTATCCACCATGATCAAGTGGGCTTCATCCCTGGGATGCAAGGCTGGTTCAATATACGCAAATCAATAAATGTAATCCAGCATATAAACAGAGCCAAAGACAAAAACCACATGATTATCTCAATAGATGCAGAAAAAGCCTTTGACAAAATTCAACAACCCTTCATGATAAAAACTCTCAATAAATTAGGTATTGATGGGACATATTTCAAAATGATAAGAGCTATCTATGACAAACCCACAGCCAATATCATACTGAATGGGCAAAAACTGGAAGCATTCCCTTTGAAAACTGGCACAAGACAGGGATGCCCTCTCTCACCACTCCTATTCAACATAGTGTTGGAAGTTCTGGCCAGGGCAATTAGGCAGGAGAAGGAAATAAAGGGTATTCAATTAGGAAAAGAGGAAGTCAAATTGTCCCTGTTTGCAGACGACATCATTGTGTATCTAGAAAACCCCATTGTCTCAGCCCAAAATCTCCTTAAGCTGATAAGCAACTTCAGCAAAGTCTCAGGATACAAAATCAATGTACAAAAATCACAAGCATTCTTATACACCAGCAACAGACAAACAGAGAGCCAAATCATGAGTGAACTCCCATTCACAATTGCTTCAAAGAGAATAAAATACTTAGGAATCCAACTTACAAGGGATGTGAAGGACCTCTTCAAGGAGAACTACAAACCACTGCTCAAGGAAATAAAAGAGGATACAAACAAATGGAAGAACATTCCATGCTCATGGGTAGGAAGAATCAATATCGTGAAAATGGCCATACTGCCCAAGGTAATTTACAGATTCAATGCCATCCCCATCAAGCTACCAATGCCTTTCTTCACAGAACTGGAAAAAACTACTTTAAAGTTCATATGGAACCAAAAAAGAGCCCGCGTCGCCAAGTCAATCCTCAGCCAAAAGAACAAAGCTGGAGGCATCACACTACCTGACTTCAAACTATACTACAAGGCTACAGTAACCAAAACAGCATGGTACTGGTACCAAAACAGAGATATAGATCAATGGAACAGAACAGAGCCCTCAGAAATAACGCCGCATACCTACAACTATCTGATCTTTGACAAACCTGAGAAAAACAAGCAATGGGGAAAGGATTCCCTATTTAATAAATGGTGCTGGGAAAACTGGCTAGCCATATGTAGAAAGCTGAAACTGGATCCCTTCCTTACACCTTATACAAAAATCAATTCAAGATGGATTAAAGACTTAAATGTTAGACCTAAAACCATAAAAACCCTAGAAGAAAACCTAGGCAATACCATTCAGGACATAGGCATGGGCAAGGACTTCATGTCCAAAACACCAAAAGCAATGGCAACAAAAGACAAAATTGACAAATGGGATCTAATTAAACTAAAGAGCTTCTGCACAGCAAAAGAAACTACCATCAGAGTGAACAGGCAACCTACAAAATGGGAGAAAATTTTCGCAACCTACTCATCTGACAAAGGGCTAATATCCAGAATCTACAATGAACTCAAACTAATTTACAAGAAAAAAACAAACAACCCCATCAAAAAGTGGGCGAAGGACATGAACAGACACTTCTCAAAAGAAGACATTTATGCAGCCAAAAAACACATGAAAAAATGCTCATCATCACTGGCCATCAGAGAAATGCAAATCAAAACCACAATGAGATACCATCTCACACCAGTTAGAATGGCAATCATTAAAAAGTCAGGAAACAACAGGTGCTGGAGAGGATGTGGAGAAACAGGAACACTTTTACACTGTTGGTGGGACTGTAAACTAGTTCAACCATTGTGGAAGTCAGTGTGGCGATTCCTCAGGGATCTAGAACTAGAAATACCATTTGACCCAGCCATCCCATTACTGGGTATATACCCAAATGACTGTAAATCATGCTGCTATAAAGACACATGCACACGTATGTTTATTGCGGCATTATTCACGATAGCAAAGACTTGGAACCAACCCAAATGTCCAACAATGATAGACTGGATTAAGAAAATGTGGCACATATACACCATGGAATAGTATGCAGCCATAAAAAATGATGAGTTCATGTCCTTTGTAGGGACATGGATGAAATTGGAAATCATTATTCTCAGTAAACTATTGCAAGAACAAAAAACCAAACACCGCATATTCTCACTCATAGGTGGGAATTGAACAATGAGATCACATGGACACAGGAAGGGGAATATCACACTCTGGCAACTGTGGTGGGGTGGGGGGAGGGGGGAGGGATAGCATTGGGAGATATACCTAATGCTAGATGATGAGTTAGTGGGTGCAGTGCACCAGCACGGCACATGTATATGTATGTAACTAACCTGCACAATGTGCACATGTACCCTAAAACTTAAAGTATAATTAAAAAAAAAAAAAAAGAAGTAAGGGAAAACGTTGAGGAGTTACAAGTAAGTTGTCCTGAAAGTGACAGACTCCTGTCAGTGGTGGGGACTCCATGGAAGCTCAGGGTCTGGGGTGAGTCCATCCAGAGGTGGTACAGGGGGAGAGGAGCTACATAGAATGGGCTGTGCTCTATGTGCAGCCAGCACAAGACAGGAGAAGAGAGAGTGGGGGGGATGGGGATGAACAACAGTATAAACAGCCAGGATAGGAGGGCTTGGGTCTCAGGGGGTGGACAGAAACACCAGGATGCCAGTGACCTCTAAGGGCCATGTTCCCTCCACAGGACTAAGGACTCAGGCACTGGACAGGATGACTGGCTCTGTCAGACCTCAGAGTACAGACTGAGCAAGAACCTCACCCACCTCAAGTATGGGAACATTCCCTGTAAAGTAACACTGAGCACAGCGTGTTCCTGCCAAAGCCTCCCTGCTGAGGCTGCTGAGAACTTCCTAAATCCCTTCAAGAGTCACTGAAGGTAGACGTTGCTATCAACCTGTACTATATAAGGAAACTGAGGCTCAAAGAGGTTAAGTGACAAAAAACTAAAAATAAATCTACCATATGATCCAGCAATCTCACTGCTGAATATATGTCCAAAAGAGAGGAATATATAGAAGTACATAGAAGATCTATCTGCTCTGCTATACTTGTTATAGCATTATTCACAATAGCCAAGATATGGAATCACCCGAAGTGTCCATCAATGGATAACTGGATAAAGAAAATGTGGTATACACAATGGAATATTATGCAGCCATAAAAAAGAATGAGATTCGGTCATTGGCAGCAACATGGATGAACCTGAGAGACATCATATTAAGTGAAATAAGCCAAGCTCAGAAAGACAAATATTGCATGTTCTCACTCATGCATGGGAGCTAAAAAAATTGATCTCATGAAGGTAAAGAGTAGAATGATGATTAACAGAGGCTACAAAAGGTAGGGAGAAGGAGGGAATGAAGAGAGTTTGCTTAATGGGTACAAAAATACAGTTAGAAGGAATAAGTTGTGGTGTTTGATAGCTCAGCAGGGTGGCTATAGTTAATAACATTTTCTATATCTCAGAATACCTAGAAGATCTAGAATGCTCTCAACATAAAAATATGATAAATGTTTGAGATGATGGATATTCCAAATACCTTGATTTGATTATATATAGTACGCATGTATCAGAATATCACATGCTTCCCATAAATATATGCAATTATAATGTATGAAAAATAAATAGATAAATGAAACTGAGTGAGTTGCCCCCAAGTCATACCCTGATAAGTAGCAGAATCTGGATCTGATCGTGATTCTTTTGACTCCAAATGCTATTCTTCGGTATGGTGTGCTTAGGAATGAATGGCAATCAAGAGCTTACATTTGCACCTGAGTAGTTCCTCCTAGCCAGCTATTGTTCATTCTGATTGGGGTCTCTCCCACTGATGGTCCCAGAGATCTTCTCGTGTTCTCGTGTGTCTCCTGAGTTCCTTCCATCAGTGCCTTGAAAACACAGACTCCCCTCAACCCCACCCCTAGACTTCGTGTCTGGAGGTTCTCACATACTCTTTCTTCTGCCTGAAACATTCTCTTCTCTCCCACCATCCACTCCCTATCTCTTCATTTAACTTCTATTCATCCCTTAGGTCACAACATGAGCACCCCAAAGAGGACTTTCTGCACCTTCCTGGCTATTCTGATATTTCTAATATCCCCCTATTTTAACACCACTAGAATTTCCAATATTTATTTGATTACATCTATCACCAGATAAAAGCTTCAATAAGTCAGGACCCCTATATGTTTTGTTCTGCGTGTGATTCCTCAGTACCTAAAATAACTCATGGCACAAAAGAGATATTCAAGGAATACTGGATGCTGGAGTCAATGAAGACATGAACACTGGAAGATGTATAATTCAACCTTTTCATTCTACAATTAGAAAACCGAGGCACAGGGAAGTAAACAAAAAGCTAGTTTCCCTGGATTCGTGAGCATGTGTGGCAGGGTGAGTGCTAGCCACTGACCATATATTCCAAGAAGTCTAGGACCCTGTACTGTCTGCAACACAGTGGAATGGGTCAACGGTAGGCTTGCCTTGATGCAAAGCAAGAGATCATTCCCACCCAAACCTGTAACCCTTGAATGTCAAGGACCAGTCTGCTAGAAAAGTATTTCTCAGTCAAAGCACAACCCCCCCGGCCTTGTTTTTTTTTTAGAGTGCCCAACTTTCTGAGACTCCCAGCTGGGATGAAAGTATGAAATACACAGCCATCCTAAAAGGCTCATCCTGAGATTGTCTCTGTGAAGGGAAACCCTTCTTTCACGAGTTGGTCCTTTAGCCCAGTGGGGCTGGCTCTGAATCACTCCAGGTCCCCTTGTTTGTGAAGCTGGCCCTGGCCACACCAGCCTGCAGGGATCCTTCTGTGGCTTCACTCCCATATTACCTATTTTCTGTACCCTTCATCTGGTGATGCCCACAGACTGTCTTTGGAATATCTTGACTTCAGCTTGGAGAGACGTTTACACTTATGTCATCTTTCTTTCCAAACAGTACAAGGATCAAGATTTCATATTCGCTTACCAGAGGCTTGGATCTTTACTTTCTTACCTAACCCAGACTCTTCAGAGATGAACAGCATGTTACTTCCTTACAATAAATGAATAAACAGATATATAATTGGTTCCTTTTCTCTATATATTATACTATGTGTTTTACATAAGTATATATAATTTTATATATTATATAAATAAAATTGGTTCTATTTCAGATTTGTGTGTGTATGTGTGTGTATATATATTACCATTTCTCTGGAGAGCCAACATGCTTTCCCTGTGAACAAAAATGACAATGGAAAATAAAAATAAGGATAGCGAATTCTTTATAGCTGCAGAGGGCTGACAACATCCCGAACTGAAAATCTGGTTCAGAGATACTACTCTGACAAGATCTTAAACTGAAAATAAGGCACAAAATTATCTCACTCTCTTTTTCTAGTATAAAGGCTCATATAAAATTTTTCAACTGTAAGCATCCTATTCGGTTTTTAGTTCAAAATAAATATATCCTCGAATAGAAGTTTTTTTCAAGACACTTTAATTTTCAAATATTATTTTTATATCTTATGGAATGTGATCTTTAATCTTGTGTCTTTCAGGCATGTTAACCTGATGGCCTCAATTAATTAGTTAATTGACTAAATAATGATTTCAAATTTGCACCTCTGATTTCTGGAACTATTCGTACTACCTGCTTTTTTTGTTTGTTTTTTGTTTTTTTAGTTGCTAGAGACTTGGAATTTCACCCATTTTCTATTTCTGCTTAAAGATAAATGTAATGTCTGACTCCAGTGGACTTCTTTAAACTAAAATATGAGTTTACTGCTCACTCTATGACATCATATTTTCAATGACTTTATTTTCATTAAGTTTGTTTCTTTTTTACACTGTCTCTCAGTTTTAATGTCTTAAGAACGTAAAAAATATATATTTTTTGAGACAGAGCTTTATTCTTGTCAGCCAGGCTGGAGGGCAATGGCGTGATCTTGGCTCACTGCAACCTCCGCCTCCAGTGTTCAAGAGATTCTCCCGCCTCAGCCTTCCGTGTAGCTGGAATTACAGGTGCACGCCACCACACCTGGCTGATTTTTTATATTTTTAGTAGAGATGGGGTTTCACTATGTTGGCCAGGCTTGTCTCAAACTCCTGACCTCATGATCCTCCCGCCTTGGCCTCCCAAAGTGCTGGGATTATAGGCATAAGCCAACATGACCAGCTGAAAAATAATTTTTTTTAAAAAATTTTGCTAATTCTTAAATTCTGTTCAAGTAAAAAACTGTATTCCAAGTATCTATTCCTGTGATCATATAGGCCACAGCTGATGTGATACAATGACTTTTTTATTCTACTAGTGGATATCTAGTTAACTAGAAGGCTTAACATATTTAAACTTTTTTTTCTCTATTTATAAACTCAAGAACCAAACAATAACCTGAGTCACAAGAATTGGAATATATTTTGCTCCTATTAGGACAAATACCTAATATGCATGCGGGGTTTAAAACCTAGATGATGGGTTGATAGGTACAGCAAACCACCATGGCACATGTATACCTATGGAACAAACCTGCACGTTCTGCACATGTATCCAAGAACTTAAAATAAAAAGTAACAATTAAAAAAAGAATACATTTTGCTCCTTGCATTTCTTCCCAGTCTTCAGATTCATGGTCTTTGTTAAGTTATTCAAAGATTTAAAATACAGGTTATTCCAAAAAAAAATTTAATTTGTGCAAATAAGATTTTATTTTAATAGGATATTTTCACCACATGTTGTAAATATATCCACAATAGAAATAACCTAGCTGGGTATACTTTGAGTTGTGAAATTTTCCTCTTAAAACTCTAATAATTCTTCAGTGTTTTCTTGCATTGATGTTTTGTAGGGAGAAGTCTAAAGCTAATTTGACCTTTTATTTCTCTTTAGGTAATCCTTTATTCCCTGGCATTAAACTTTCAACTATTTTCTTATTATACTTTCAGTTTTAGGGTACATGTGCACAACGTATGTTGTTACATATGTATACATGTGCCATGTTGGTGTGCTGCACCCATTAACTCGTCATTTACATTAGGTATATCTCCTAATGCCATCCCTCCCCGCTCCCCCCACCCCACAAAGGATTTATAATCCTTTGGGTATATACCCAGTAATGGGACGGCTGGGTCAAATGGTATTTCTAGTTCTAGATCCCTGAGGATCTAAAAAAAAAATTTCCTGTCACTAAAATACCAAAATATTACTAAGATACATCTATGGATAATTTCATTAATAGTCTCAAAACTACAGTGAGGCTTTCCATTTGTGATCTGAGGTTTTCGATTTTCTAAAACATTTCCTTTTTTGTAACTTTTTTTTTTTTTTTTTTTTGAGACAGAGTCTGGCTCTGTAGCCCAGGCTGGAGTGCAGTGGTTGTGATCTCGGCTCACTGCAACCTCCGCCTTCTGGGTTCAAGTGATTCTCCTGCCTCAGCTTCTGGAGTAGCTGGGACTACAGGTGTGTGCCACCACGCCAGAATAATTTTAGTATTTTTAATAGAGACAGGGTTTTGCCATGTTGGCCAGGTTGGTCTCGAACTCCTGACCTCAGGTGATCTACCTGCCTCAGCCTCCCAAAGTGCTAGGATTACAGGCATGAGCCACCGTGCCTGGCCTGTAACTTTAATTGTTGCTTTTGTTCTATTTGTTCTGCTTTCTTTTTATGAAACTATTACTCCGAAGTGAGAGATCCACATTTTCTCCAATGTTTTTCATTTTCTTTCCTTATTGTTTTAAACTCTTTATCTTTTTAATCTTCTTTAAGGAAAGACTTCTGAAGTCAGTTCTACATGTTATTAATTTATTTTCTGAAATGACAATTTGGCTAAAATGCCAATTAAAATCTTTTTCTGTCCCTTTTTTATTTCTGTTTGCCGTTTTCTGGTCAACTTTATTTTCATTGAGTTTGTTTCTTTTTTTTTTTTATACAGTCTCTCAGTTTTAATGTCTTAAGAAGAAGAAAAATAATTTAAAAATTTTTGGTTCATTCTTAAATTGTGTTCAAGTATAAAACTTTGTCCCAAGTATCTAAAATGTTGATTGCTGTTTTTTATTCTGCAAATATTTTTCATTGATCATTCCTTTTATACAAAATGTCTGTAAAAAAGAAGGGATTTAACCAAACCTGGAATTTGCCAACGAACAAATGTACTCTCTCTTATCTGCAGGTTTTTCTCTTTGGGGGATAAGTGGAATATAGTGATTTCCTTCATAAGTTAATGAAATCTGCAGTCACAGCCCACAGAAAATATGTGCAAATGTTTGAAAGTTAAAGCATTATTTTCTTTATGGTTCTTTGGTTCTTTTTGAGACAGTCTCGCTCTGTCACCCAGGCTGGAGTGCAGTGGCGTGATTTTGGCTCACTGCAAGCTCTGCCTCCTGGGTTCACGCTATTCTCCTACCTCAGCCTCCCGAGTAGCAGGGACTACAGGCGCCCACCACCACGCCCAGCTAATTTTTTGTATTTTTAGTAGAGATGGGGTTTCACCATGTTAGCCAGGATGGTCTCAATCTCCTGACCTCGTGATCCACCTGCCTTGGCCTCCCAAAGTGCTGGGATTACAGGTGTGAGCCACCGCACCCAGCCTCTTTATAGTTCTTTTCTATGCCCGTGTGCAACTCCTTGTGCCTAATGAGTACCCAGTCAACAAAACCTGGAAGTAGTAAGACATTCTGAGAAGGACCTCAATAGTGAAATGTTGTTACTAGGAAGAAAACATTTATTGTGGGATGTCATATCTGTGTTTTTGGAAACTGTGTCCTAGAAACTACAGCATGAGCTGAACACAGGGCAAGTAAAAATAGAGCAAACAGGATGGTGTGACCTGAAACATATCTAGAAGAAAATGCAATTGAACAAAAGTTGTTGCAACATCCAGCGTTTGCAGAATCTCCTAGAAGATTTTAGAGAGTTGTCCAACAATTACATAACTAGTTTAGGTGTTAGTAAATAATAGATAATGTTTACTAAATGCTAACTGTGGGCCAGGCTCAGTTTTAAAAACTTTTCAGGTATTAATTTGGTGCTCATAATAACTTCATGAGGATGTTATTATTATTATTTCTATTTTGCAGATGAGTATATAAGTTAATAACTGTCCAAGGTCAGTTTCAGGTGATATGCGCAGAGCCAGGATTGAAAACTAGCCAGGGCTTATAGCGTTCATCATTGCCCTAAACAAAAACATAGTAACTTCTCTGCCAGTGGAGGTGTTAAGTCATAGTATCATGACCGTTAATTAAAGCTATTATAAAAGTGGCAGGCAGGTGAAGTGGACTAGACATATAGGCCCTTTTCATCTCTGAAACTCTAAAAAATTAAAATACCTACCTTTAGTATGCTTGATTTTAAAAGTATGACTCTTACTCTAACCCTTCTCAAGTCAAATCCTAGAGAAAAGAGAAAATATAATTCTTCTTTGCATCCTAAACACCAGGAAGGATTGAGCATGAGCTAGAAGAAAGACCAACCACTCAATTGTACTCTAGTCCTTGTAGCTCCCAAGGCATGGTTCCAAGTTTGTGCTAGACAGCAGAGAAGAGGGGTCTGCATTCCAATAAGTAGGATGAACTAGCTTGGCCCATAGTTTGGACCTTGGAGACATACTCTCCAGGAAATCCTCTTGCCCATCCTTTCCTCTGGGATGATGTTTATTTTGGAAAATAAACCTGAGGGGGGCTTCTGGCTGAGTTAGGTTAGAGGCACTCTGTCTTACAGACTAAGAAATTTTAAGGATTCAGGGCAGGAGAGTTTATCAGAGGCTTGGACTGCTTCTGTGTCTCCTTGTTGTGCTTATCTAGGAGGGAGAGTTGTGTGCCTGTTCCCATACATCTTCCTGCAGCTGCAGGGATACCCCCCGAGTCTGCTTTTAGCTTCCGTTAGTGCACCTGAAGGGAAAGGAATGTGGTTATTAAGGCCCACTGTTTTACTGGGGCCCATTGTATGAGGGTGAAGTTTGGCAGTTACCCAACAGACTTTTCCCCCGCCTCCCTCTGTGCCCAAGCTGTCTTATCTGTGTTTCACTGTCTGCTCTTTCTGGCTGCTTGTTGTTAGAAGAGAAGTGATTTCTTTGAAATGCATGAGGCTAGAAAGAGAGCTGAAACTTAAAGTGGTGGAGTTTGTCCGAGATGAGGGTGCTCCTGCTCTGTCATTAACATCCAGCCCTGCAGATGTCTGTCATCCAGCCCATGTGCCCAGTAAACTTTCCTCTGGTGTTGGGTTGCTTTAGATCCCACAGTGATTAATTCTATCAACCTCTTCTCCTTTTCTGGTGCTATTTCTCTTACAGTCTTTAATTTTTTTATTTTATTTTATTGGCTTCTGGTTGTCCTTGCACCAGATTGTCATTCCAAAATGTTGCCCTATTGATCCGGCATCTAATGTATGGGCCCCATACCTATGTTTACATTAAACCAAAGGGACCTAATGAAGACAGTACAAATTCCTTGTGTTA
This sequence comes from Homo sapiens, assembly GCF_000001405.40. Lineage (NCBI taxonomy): Eukaryota > Metazoa > Chordata > Mammalia > Primates > Hominidae > Homo > Homo sapiens. The sequence continues at coordinate 3,190,622 of NC_000017.11, forward strand.
GTCAAAACCCTTCATAATTTAACCCCAAATTTCTTTTCCTGACTGAATTCTTCCTAATCCCTTCCCTGTACCCTCGGCTCCTGATAAAGATATATAACACATTTCTGGCCAGACATGGTGGCTCAGGCCTGTAATCCCAGCACTTTGGAAGGCTGAGGTGGGCGGATCATGAGGTCAAGAGATCAAGACCATCCTGGCCAACATGGTGAAACCCCGTCTCTACTAAAAATACAAAAAATTAGCCGGGCGTGGTGGCGGGCACCTGTAGTCTCAGCTACTCGGGAGGCTGAGGCAGGAGAATCGCTTGAACCCGGGAGGCAGAGGTTGCAGTGAGCTGAGATCGTGCCACTGCACTCCAGCCTGGTGACAGAGTGAGACTCCGTCTCAAAAAAAAAAAAAAAGATATATAACATATTTCTATTTAAAATTACCCTCATTACTGAACACTTTGTCCTTGAGTTTTTCTTAATGATAATGCTAGGGAAGCAGGAGCCTGGGAGAGACAGAGTAACGCCATTTTAAGTACAGCTCCATCTTGAAACTAACAAGGCACATTCCCTGCCAGTCACAACCCACGGTCATAAGACGTTTATAGGTGAGAAAACAGCCTAAAGATACCTGTAAGGACACATTCCTACAACAGCAAAAAGTCCAGCTGTCCCAATACCTATAACAAGACATGCTTTCAAGAAAATTGTAAGCCAAACCATATCACTCTATATATGTCTCAGAATGGTTTTTAGTGTTCTGTACAATATATATTTAAGACCTTTTGTGTTGTAGGGCATGTACATTTTTGAAAATGGATGCTAAGGAGAACGTCCTCTGAATCTCTAATTATACCCTCATCACAATGTATGAGAATACACCCACACTTTTGCTCAATATATGAGGAAGTTTTAATTTTAATAAATGTGAATGGTGAAAAAAAAGAAAATTATGCTTCGATGTACTCACACAGCAGAATATCAAGAATAGTTTTCTTTAAATCAATAAAATAATAAATTTTGTCATGCCATCAGCCAACCCGCACATTGTTACAGCTTAGTTTAGTCTTGACATAAACAAGATCCCTATATAAAAACTTGACACAAAGCCAGTGCATTCCTCTGCTTAGTTTCTGAGGGTGCCCTACCCTGTAAGAGAGTAGCTTTCTAGAGACTACTGCTTCTGACTGCACTCTGCGATTCATCTTGAATTCCATCCTGTGTGAGATCCAAGAATCCTCTCCTGGGGTCTGAATCAAGACCCCTCTTCCAGGACTGTAAGGCACAATAAGGCACTGAGACCTCATCCATTAGGTGATGAGGAAACAAGGAATTGTTTTAAAGAGACAGACACCATCACTTGCATTTTCTAAATGTAATTTTGGGGCCAGTAAGCAAATTTCTCTACTAATAAGCCTGGCTGAGCATGTAAATACATTTTTTCTCCCCATTTATTCTCAATCTTTTCCCAGTGCCATGGACACACTTTTGATCCAATTATTATCAAATATGTGAAATCTTTACCTTAAATTATTAAATGTGTTTATTATAATAGTATGATTAAAACATCAGCAAAACAAAGAGAATAATATAACAAAAATTTATTATCTAGATTTAACAAATATAAGAATGTGGTCTTAGTTATTCTAAGTTTTTTAAATAAATAAATACTACAAATACTTTTGAGACTCCCTTTTTTTCCATCCAAAATCTAATTTTTTCCCCTTTACCTCCAGACATAACTGCAATTCTAGAGTTGGTAGTACGCTCCCAGTCAGGATTTATACTTTGACTACATACACATGTATTATTTTATCCATTAAAATTTACACATATTATATGATATAGTATATATCTTTCAGTAACTTCTTTCTTCAATCACATTATTTTTTATAAAATGAGGTCAGACATGCTGGCTCATACCTGTAGTCCTAACTCTTTGAGAGGCTGGGATGGGAGAGTCACTTGAGGCCAGGAGTTCAAGATCAGGTTGGGGAACATAGCGAGACCCTGTCTCTACAAAAATTTTAAAAATTATCTTATTAGTGTATAGGACTCCTACGTATTCTGAATATGAATTCCTTATCGATTATGTGTTCTGCAAATACCTCTTTCAGTTCATGGCTCATCTTTCCCCCTCCTTACGGTATGTTTTTTACCAAATGTTTTCCATTTTTAATGTAGTCAAATTTTACAATATTCTCTTTCATGTTTTATGTGGTTTAAGAAATAAATTATATCACAAATATATTTTCTCTATTTTCTTCTAAAATTTGGAAGCTTTGCTCTTACAATTAATCCCTTGGGAATTATTTTTCTGCACTTTTTAAATAAATGGGTATCCCATTGTTCCAGCACTCTTAGCTAAAGTCAGTCCATCCTTTCTCTGCCTACAGTATTATAAACCAACTCATGTCATACACCAATGTCTAATAAATTGCTTGGTGCAATGCTTGGTCTGTTCTGAGCTCTCCAGTCTGTTACATAGATTTAATTTTCAGTCCCTACACCAGAACTACTCAAATGCTTCAACTACCACAGTAATTCATTTTTTAAGGAATATGTACACCTTATTTTTTTGCATTTTTAACTCATTCCCTTTTTTTAATTGATATATAATAGTCGTATATATTTGGGGGGGTACATGTGATATTTTGATACCTGTATACCATGTGTAATGCTCTAATTGGGGTAACTGAGATATCCATTGTCTCAAACATTTGGCATTTCTTTGTGTTGGGAACATCATATTCTTCTCGTCTAGCTATTTTGAAATAATATATTATTGTTAACTCTAATTTCCCTACTGTACTATCAAATACTAGAGCTTATTTCTGAGAACATAGTAATTCATTTTAATACCTGAAAAAGTAATTTTTTTCTCATGCTTTTCCTCAAATGGACTTAGACTTCTTGGCTCTTTATTTGTCTACGTCAATTTTAGGATAGTTTGGTAAGTTCCATGTTTAAAATAAACCTGTGGTATGTTGATTAGATTGCACCAAATTTATAGATTAACTTGGGAAGAATTGACATTTTTACCACATTGAGTTTTTCTATCACCGGTGCTTTCATCTCCACGTTTTTAGATATTCTTTTTTTCTTCTTAAGTAAAGGTTTGTAATATTTGATAACAGTCTTGGCTTTTTTTGTTAGAATCATCCTAGATTCCCTAAAATTTCTGTTGCTTTCTGAATGGGGATCTTTTTCAAATTATATTTTCTAAGTTATTTTTACCTAAATACAAAAACAGCATTGATTATTTTAAATGATTTATATCTAACAAGCTTTCTGAAATCTCTTAGTGTATCTATTGATTCTCTTTGATTTTATTTCTAGACAACCACATTTTCTGTGAATTTTCTCTATTTCCTTTCCAATTCTCATGGGGCAAAAGTTTCTTACAATGATCCTTTCAAATATAGGACAGTATTTTAAGTATTTTAAGCAGACGACTCAAGTTAAGCTTCCTGCTTCTGCAGACCTGTGACTGCATCTCCAGTACCAAAAGGGAAATAATAGCACAGACTCCATCCCTGAGAGCCAAATTCCTGGTTCAAAACCCCAAAGGACCACCACAGCATCAGTTATAGCCTAAAACCCCTGCTCTGAGTTTTCTCTTGGGCTTAGCTACATTTACAAAAAAATTTTAATTTATCTAGAATATGTTTTAATAGAAACAGGACCTGTCAACATGAGTTTGCTTTGCCATGTTGCCCAGAGTTCTCCTCTGTCTGAAATCTTACACTTCCGTATCATAGGAGCTAATAATGTCTCTGAGCCCTCCAAAATTACTGAATCCTTTGAAACCTGAGGTATTATGATTCTGTGTGAAGATGAGAAAGGGCATTTCAAGACAGAAAGCCAAGTGACTTTAGGTGCAAAGATGAAAGAACACATCATGTTTGGGGATAAGATAATTAGACCTGCATACCCAGGGCTTAGCATGTACTTCACATGTATACTATATGAGACACCAGGAATTGATGATTGAATTAATTATAGATCGGATTAACTATTCAGCAAAGTGTTTTAAGAAAAAAAGTTAGGATATATTGGGCTACAGTAACAAATACATCAGAAAATGTTTAGGCTGGGCATAGTGGCTCATACCTGTAATCTCAGCACTTTGGGAGGTCGAGGCAGGTGGATCACAAGGTCAGGAGTTCGAGACCAGCCGGGCCAATATGGTGAAACCCTGTCTCCACTAAAAATACAAAAATTAGATGGGTGTGGTGGCAGAGGCCTGTAGTCTCAGCTACTCGGGAGGCTGAGGCAGGAGAACCACTTGAACCTGGGAGGTGGAGGTTGCAGTGAGCCAAGATGGCACCACTGCACTCCAGCCTGGTGACAGAGCAAGACTCCATCTCAAAAAAAAAAAAGTGTTTTAAAAAAATAAAAGTAATTGTTTAAACAAATAAGAATTTCTTTTTCTCTAATGGTCATAGTGGGCCCTCTTGGTCATGAGTGGCTCTGCTGGATATGGAGAGCTAGGGACATAGGCTCATTTCACCATGCAACTCCATCATCACATTCAGCCTCTTCACCATTTGCATTCAGTTGGGACAAGGAGAAAAAGGGTATGGAGGAGCTCAATGAGTAGAACTCAGTTGGTAAAATGAAGTTACCTTACCACACCTCATTGCAAGGGAGGCTGGGAAATGTAGTCTAATAGAGTGTCCACGAGGAAGACAGCAACGCAGATTTAGGTGAGCAGCTGGTAGTCTCTACGACAATTAGTATGATCTCAAAATGCAAGATGGATCAAAGAAGAGGGAACTGTAGTGAAGCAGTTAAGGGACTACTACAATACTTAAGTTGAAAATGATGATGGTCTAAGCTAAATTAGTAAAGGGTAATTTAGCTTAGGTAAGTAAAGAGAAAAGTTGAGTTATATAACAATTTTTTCAAATGAAGATTCAACAAGGTCAGACGTACAGGCAGAAGATAAACTGGATGAGTGTTTCTGTGAGAATCCCACATGTGGGGAACCATGAAATAAACCTGGGTTCAACTCAATAATTGAGTGCAAATTAATTGGTGCACAAAATGAATGATATTTTACAAAAATCAATTTGGAAGACATAAACATAAACAAGTTATGATTTTCCTCTTCAAAAACATCTTGCACCTGTAATCCCAGCACTTTGGGAGGCCGAGGTGGGCAGGTCACAAGGTCAGGAGATCGAGACCATCCTGGCTAACACGTGAAACCCCGTCTCTACTAAAAACACAAAAAATTAGCCAGGCATGGTGGCGCGTGCCTGTAGTCCCAGCTACTCGGGAGGCTGAGGCAGGAGAATGGCGTGAACCCAGGAGGTGGAGCTTGCAGTGAGCTGAGATCTCGCCACTGCACTCCAGCCTGGGCAACAGAGTGAGACTCTGTCTCAAAAAAAAAAAAAAAAAAAGAAAAGAAACATCTTGCAAACTACTTAGGTTTTAAGTGCAGAGTGTGGGGTTTGGTCAGACATGTTAGCAGGATGACTGAATATGGAAATATGGGAAAAAGAAATCGAGACCACAGATACAGACATGACAGTTTACTAAAGAATAGTTGAATCCACTGTGGACTTGGATTACTACAAAAAGAAATAAGGAAGACAAGGAAGAGAAGACTGCTATGGATTGAGTTTGCCCTCACCAAAACTCATGTTGAAATGTGATCCCCAGTGTGGGAGGTGTTGGGAGGTAAAGCCTAGTGGGAAGCGTTTGAGTCAAGGGGGTGGATCCCTCATGAGTGGTCTGGTGCTGTTCTCATGGTAGTAAGTGTGTTCTCATTCTCTCAAGACTGGATTAATCTTAAGGGAATGTTCCTACAGGAGTGGGTTGTGATAAAACCAGTATACTTCTCGGGTTTTCTCTCTTCCCCTGTATCCACTTCCCTGTTGACCTTCTCTGACAGGTTATGATGCAGCAAGAAAGCCCTTGCCAGAAGCCAGGGCCACGCTCTTGAATGTCCCAGCCTACAGATCCATGAGACAATTCAACCTCTTTTCTTATAAATTCCCCAGTCTCAAGTATTCTGTTATAGCAACACAAAATGAACCAAGACAAAGGCCAGTGGAAAAAGCACTGTGATTATGTATAGTTATGGGCTTTGAAAAGAGAGAAAAGCTGTCAAAAAGATAGGGAATATCTTTGAAAATCGAACACCTGTGGAGTAAGTTCACTGAGCTTGTTTTTCTAGGACCTAATGCCAGTTGTCTTTCTGTTTTAGAATCTGATGGCAGTGTAGACACCTCTGACTTCCTGGGCTCTGGGCTCACCCCGAGACTGGTTGGAGGAACAACTTTAAATTGTTCACTGCATTCCTACTATGATACATCCTTTGCACTGGAGGATTTTTTGTTTGTTTTTTTCACAAGGACTCCAAGAGGCTATCCTTTTCTTACCATGTGTAATAAAATTATTGTGTGAGTCTGGCTTTCCTATTCAATTATAAGGTCCTTGAGAACAGATGCTATGTCTTGTGTAACAAATAAGTGGATGAATAACTGTATTTTCACATATTTATTGTTTCTCTACAAAGTAAAAAAAAATCTAAGACATGAAACATGAAATTAGGTTTTTGTTATGTGATTAAATTATAGATATTAAGGTGGTGGTGCTACATTTGGAAGGACAACCATCTTTACTTCACAGATCGCTAACTTCTTTGACATGAGTGTCCAGGAGGTCAATGAGAGTTCGTCCCATTGACCAACAGAGATTTTACCCAAAAGTGCTGGCTATATTTATGATTGTAAAAACCAGGTATAGCCATGGCTAATGAAAAGTGGTGGATAAGTTTGACAGCAGGTGAATTTGTAAAATAATTAAAAACGTTTAAGTGGTAGATAAGGCAGACTATAACACACACTAACTGCGCTAATAATTCTGGGTTCCTCTCCCCTTTCATGCTGAAGAAGCCATGAAGAAAGAAAATCAATCCTTTAACCTGGATTTTATTCTCCTGGGAGTTACTAGTCAGCAAGAACAGAATAATGTCTTCTTTGTGATTTTTTTGTGCATTTACCCCATCACACTGACTGGAAATCTGCTCATCATCTTGGCCATCTGTGCTGACATTCGCCTTCACAACCCCATGTATTTTCTCCTTGCCAACCTCTCCTTGGTTGACATCATCTTCTCATCCGTAACCATCCCTAAGGTGCTGGCCAACCATCTCTTGGGGAGCAAGTTCATCTCCTTTGGGGGATGCCTAATGCAGATGTATTTCATGATAGCCTTGGCCAAGGCAGACAGCTATACCTTGGCTGCAATGGCATACGATCGAGCTGTGGCCATCAGCTGCCCACTTCATTACACAACAATTATGAGTCCACGGTCTTGTATCCTGCTTATTGCTGGGTCTTGGGTGATTGGAAACACCAGTGCTCTCCCCCACACTCTGCTCACAGCTAGTTTGTCCTTCTGTGGCAACCAGGAAGTAGCCAATTTCTACTGTGACATTATGCCTTTGCTGAAGTTGTCCTGTTCTGACGTCCACTTTAATGTGAAGATGATGTACCTAGGGGTCGGCGTTTTCTCTTTGCCATTACTATGCATCATTGTCTCCTATGTTCAGGTCTTTTCCACAGTCTTCCAAGTTCCATCTACCAAGAGTCTATTCAAAGCCTTCTGCACCTGTGGCTCCCACCTCACAGTTGTTTTTTTATATTATGGTACAACGATGGGCATGTATTTCCGCCCTCTGACCAGTTACAGCCCCAAAGATGCAGTGATAACTGTGATGTATGTGGCAGTGACCCCAGCATTAAATCCTTTCATCTATAGTCTGAGAAATTGGGATATGAAGGCAGCCCTACAGAAACTCTTCAGCAAGAGAATCTCCTCATAGCCGCTGTGAGATTACACGCTGGATACTGTAATGACCAAGTGGGATACACTTGGAAATCCAGCTCCAATGTCATTGCCCTTCAAGAAGCTCCTTTTGTTCTTTTGAGCCAGAAATTCCTCTACCAGAAATCTTGTAACGGATGTGATATTTTATTGAAATTATCACTTTGGACAAATTCCTGCTCTTTTTTGAGAGAGTGGCAGGCTGGGAATATCAGGTTCATGTCCCAGTTAGCAGAAATTTACTAGCAGAGTAAAGTTGAAAAAGTCTGAGTCTCAGCTTGCATATCTACATGTTAGGAAAATAATATCTGCCGGACTCTCTGACACAGCTTGTGTATATCAAAATGGCTCATGCTTTGAAGGCTGCAAATTACTATTCTAATGTAATCTTTACTGGACTTTTATGTCTAGCCACCCCTACTATACTTGTACTCTGGTGGCAAAAGCTGTGTTAACATATCACTTACTTTTTTAGTATTTTGATCATATAAAATATTGGTGGAAAGCAGGAAAATGTATAAAAATATTAGTTTCTGAAATACAATCTGATAATGAATAAACATAATCAAACTGCATAGTATTCATTCATGTATTATAGAGCTGGTATGTCTGTTAAGGTCAGTTAAGATCCATGCAGGAAACAGAAATCACACTTGGTATATTTATACCAAGAAGATTTGATACAGAGAATTGGCTACATAGGTGTATCCTGAAAGAGACTAAATAGTGAAAAGGCAGATGCTGATGCCACCCACAGATTACCAACGGCATGAAGAAGATACCTCAGGCAGAACTAGGAAAATAAAAGTGTAAATGTGGTGTTACCGAAACCTAGACCCTCCAAGGAGGGATGACCACACATTTGATGCCCAGGTCTCTGAACACAGGTACCAAAGAGCTGGCACTTGGCCCTTATCTGGTCAGCTAAGCCAAATTTTCACTTCTGGGGATCTGAGGCCTCAGCAGTAGTAGCGACTGTTTAAATGCTTCTGGTTGGTGCAGTTTATATTCACCTTTGCTACTGGGTATGGAAAGAATAAGAAGCACCCCAGACATAATTGTAATCATGAGCTTCTGCCTCTCATTGTGTAGCAGCAACACAATGTCTTTGGTAACTGGGTCAGTCACTCCAGCCAGTAGAGAAATCCCTTTCTCTGAATGACCCACAGAGCCATGCTACAATTTGGTTAAATCTCAGCAACACGACATTAAGTTTGAAAAATGCAAATCCCAAAAGATTATTATTAATGCTTTTTATATGGTTATGAACAACTGAAACAACTAAAAATGTGCTTTCCTGGAATATACATAAATGCCATTAAAGTGCACTAAAAACAAAAGAAAATGATGAGCATAGGATCAGGATGAGAGAAAATTCAAGGGGAGAGACTAAGGGGATGGAAATGGGGATAGCGTATGGTTAGATTTCGGTTGCTACTAAACTCATAATTTTCAGGTTGGGTGATGGGTCATTGGGTATTCATGGTAGTATGATAGACGGATGTATAGATAGGTAGATTGATTAAATAAAAGCTCTTCATGATGCAATAACGAGAGCATGAGAGTTCGTCTTGAGACAATGATTAGTAAGAGGGCAATAAGGGAGGAGCAGGTAGTGGTTAGATCAGGAGTGAAATTAGGCAGCCCCTAAAACAATCTTAGGATGAGACAGTGAAGACATAGACAAAGGGTGAGATAGAGTGGTAATATGGAAATAGAAAAAATAGGATATAGTATTTTTATGATAATAGTAAGTAAAGGTATGTCTTTAAGATTTTGAGGTTGAGCCACTAAAAGAAAAAAAAAAATGCCTTTAGTGGAAATAGTGAACAAGAGTACTATGAGAAAAACTTAACAAAAACTAACACTGAGAACAAGGTGGCAGAGTAATAAGTTGCAGACCTTCCCCTCACCCACAAGTACATCCATTTAGAAACAATTCATGGATAAATTTCCCTTGTGAGAAATCCCAAAACTAATTGAAAGGCTCCCACATCTCAGGCAAATGTTAAACTAGACTTACCAAAAAGCCACCTAAGAGACTCAGAACATCCAGCCAACAAATTCCCTAACCAAGCACAGTGTCATATAATTAGTAAGAGACCCCGTAGCTCCCAGCTTCTGCCACTAAACGGAGGAAGTTGGTTTGTGCATCCAGTGCCCCAATGTGTCTGGAAGACTCTTTAGAGGGCTGGTGTCTCTCTGACCTGACTTGGAGCTCTGATGGGACAATCTAGCTGCCAGAAAAAGAATGAGAGGGTGCTGTGGGCTGGTAGATGCCATAGATTCCATACCCCATGGTTTAACACAAAGTGTATGAAAAGCAGCCCATGAAGACTGTGAGAAGTTCCTGCTTTGTCTAATGCACAGACACCAACACGGTCAAAAAAAAAAAAATGAAGAACCAGGCTAAATTGTACCAAAGTGGCTGGGCACGGCGGCTCACACCTGTAATCCTAGCACTTTGGGAGGCTGAGGCAGGAGGATCATGAGGTCAGGAGATCAAGGCCATCCTGGCTAACACGGTAAAACCCCGTCTCTACTAAAAATACAAAAAATTGGCCAGGTGTGGTGGCGGGCGCCTGTAGTCCCAGCTACTTGGGAGGCTGAGGCAGGAGAATGGCATGAACCTGGGAGGTGGAGCTGGCAGTGAACCAAGATCAGGCCACTGCACTCCAGCCTGGGCGACAGAGCGAGACTCCATGCCAAAAAAAAGAAAAAAAAAGTACCAAAGAAAGGAGCAAGATAAATATCCAGAAACCAATTGTAATGAAACAGAGTAATGTGATTTACCTGATAGAGAACCAAAATAACTGTCATAAAGATATTCACTGAAGAGAACAATGCATGAACAAAGTGATAATTTTAACAGACAGATAAAAAATATTTTTAAAGTGCCAAACAAGAATCATGTTGCTGAAAACCACAATACTTGAAAGGAAAAATTTACCAGAAGGGTTCAACAGCAGACTAGATCAACTGAAGGGTCAGTGAATTCAAAGACAGGTCATTGGAAATAATTTAGTAAAGGGAGAAAAAAAAGAATAGAAATGAGTGAAGAAAGCTCTATGGGATACCATCAAGCAGACAAATATTTGTGTTATGGAGTCCCTGAAGGAGAAAAGACAAGACCAGAAAGCTTATTCAAAGAAATAATGGCTGAACGCTTCCCAAATCTGTAGAAGGAAATGGATATTCACACCCAAGAAACCAAAGGACACCAGAGAAGATGAACCAAAAATTAAAAATCCACACTGAGGCCGGGTGCGGTGGCTCACGCCTGTAATCCCAGCACTTTGGGATGCTGAGGCGGGCAGATCACAAGGTCAGGAGATCCAGACCAGCCTGGCTAACACGGTGAAACCCCGTCTCTACTAAAAATACAAAAAATTAGCCAGGTGTGGTCACGGGCACCTGTAGTCCTAGCTACTCAGGAGGCTGAGGCAGAATGGCGTGAACTTGGGAGGCGGAGCTTGCAGTGAGTCAAGATCACACCACTGCACTCCAGCCTGGGCGACAGAGCGAGACTCCATCTCAAAAAACAACAACAACAATAACAAAAACAAAACAAAACAAAAATCCACACTGAGAGACAATGTAATCAAACTGTCAAAATTCAAAGAGGCAAGTTTGAAAGCAGAAATAAAAAAGCAACTTGTCATACACAAGGGAAGTTTCATAAGACTATCAGTGAGTTTTTAGCAAAAATGAAGAGGAGATAAAGACTTTCCCAGACAAACAAAAAATGGAAAACTTCATCACCGCTGCACCTGCATTACCAGAAACACTGAAGGGAGTTCTGCAAGTTGGAACCAAATGTCAGTAAACCTCACCATAGCATAAGAAAGTCCACTGGTTGTGGTGGCTTACAGCTACAATCCCAGTGCTTTGGGAGGCTGAGGTGTGAGAACTGCTTGAGGCCAGGAATTTGAGATCACCCTGGTCAACATAGCAAGACCCCCATATCTACCAAAAATTTGTGAAAAAAAAAAAGCCAGGCATGGCGTCACATACCTGTAGTCCTAGTTACTTAGGAGGCTGAGGCAGGAGGATTACTTGAGCCCTGGAGTTTGAGGCTACAGTGAGCTATGCTCATGCCACTGTACTACAGCCTGGGTGACAGAGTGAGATCCTGTCTCTAAAAAAAATTTTTAATTTACAAAACAAAAAAATTTTTAAAAGAAAGTAAGAAACTTATTGGTAAAGATAAATATGAAGACAAATATACATTACTGACATTACTGCATAACTGTAATTGTAGATAAATCACTTTTAAAACTAATATAAAAGTTAAAAGAGAAAAATATTAGAATATAAATAAAATATATTAAAAGATACACAATATGAATACATGTGAGGTATGAAAACAACAAAATGTGAGAGAGGAAAAAAAGTGCAAGGTTTCGTATGTAATCATCAGATTAAAATTGATGGTCATAACCAGAAGATACATATAAACCCCAAGAAAATCACAAAAAAAATCCTATAGAAGTTTTACAAAAGAAAAAGAGAAAGGAATCAAAGCATAACACTAAACAAATCATCAAAACAAAAAGAAGGTGTCAGAGAGATGTTGGTCAAAGGATACAAAATTTTAGTTAAGTACAAGAAAATAAGTTCAAGAGATCTATTGTACAACATGATGAGTACAGTTAACGATATACTGTATTATTGAAAAATGCCAACAAAGTAGATTTGAAGTGTTCTCACCACAAAATAATAACTTTGTGATGTTATGCATATTTTCATTAGCTAGATTTAGTCATTCCAAGATGTGTGTATATATTTCAAAACATTATCTTATACACAATAAATACGTACAGTTTTATCTGTCAATTTTTAAACTTTTTTTTTTAAAAAAAGAAAGCCAGTAAGAAAGGAAAAGACAGTCAGAAGAACTACAACTAATAGAAAAAAAAAACAAAACTAACAATAGTAAGCTCTTACTTACCAAAAGTTACTTTAAATGTAAATGCATTAAACTCCCTGGTGAAAGGCATATAGTGTCTGAAAGGATTAAGAAAAATAAAACAAGACCCAAGTGTATTCTGTCTAGAAGAAACTCACTTTAGATTTAAGGACATATAAGCTAAAGTAAAGAGATGGAAAAATATAGTCTTTTATTGGACAAAACAGACTTTACGTCAAAACTATCACAGAAAGAAGGACATTATATAATGATAAAAGGATCAATCCACCAGGAAAATATAATAATTTTAAATATATATGCACCTAGCATTGGAGTACCCTAATATATAAAACAAACAATGACAGAACTGAAGGGAGAAATAGGCAACAATATAACAGTAAGATATGGTAATATCCCACTTTGATAATGAATAGGGAAATGAGACAGAAAATCAACAGGAAACAGCGGACTTGAATAACACTATAGAACAAATGAACTGTGAGACATATACAGAACTTTCCACCCAACCGCAGCAAAATACACACTCCTCTCAAGCACACATGGACGTTCACCAGGATAAATCACATGTTTGGTCACAAAAGAAGTCTTAACACCTTTAAGGAGATTAAAATCATACCAAGTATATTTACCAACCACAATGGAAACAAAACTACAAAGTAATCACAGAAAGAAAACTGGAAAATCAAAAAATATGTGGAAATTTAACAGCACACATTTGAACCACCTATGGGTCAAATAAAAAAGAAAACTGACAATATCTTGAGACAAACAAAAATGAAAATACAACATACCTAAACTTATAGGAGGCAATGAAAGCAGTACTTAGAGGAAAATTTATAGTGATAAATACTTAGATTTTAAAAGATCTCTTTTTCTCCACAACCTTGCCAGCATCTGTTATTTTTTGACTTTTTATTAATAGCCATTTTAACTGCTGTGAGATGGTATTTCTCATTGTGGTTTGGATTTGCATTTCTCTAATAATCAGTGATGTTGAGTTTTTCGTATGCTCGTTGGCCACATGTATGTCTTCTGGGAAGTGTCTGTTCATGTTATTTGCCCACTTTTTGTGAGGTTGTTGGTTTTTCTTTTCTTCTTGTCTAAGTTCCTTATAGATGCTGGATATTAGACCTTCATTGGATGCATAGTTTGCAACATTTTTCTCCCATTCTGTCGGTTGTCTTAAAGTTTACTCCGTTGATAGTTTCTTTTGCTGTGCAGAAGCTCTTTAGTTTAACTAGATCCCATTTGTCAATTTTTGCTTTTGTTGCCATTGCTTTTGGTGTCTCTGTCATGAAATTTTTGCCCATGCCTATGTCTTGAATGGTATTGCCTAGGTTGTCTTCCAGGGTTTTATAGTTTTGGGTTTTGCCTTTAAGTTTTTAATCCATCTTGAGCTAATATTTGTATATGGTATAAAAATGGAGAGAAAATTCTCAATAACCTTCTTACACCACAGGCTTCCTCCTTATCAGACCAGTAGTGGATAGTATCAGACATGCTGCAGATTAAAAAGACATTTGTGGGTCAACCTTTAATATTTACCATTAATCACAGGAATACTTTGTTTTATTGTACTTAACTTTATTGCTCTTCACATATGTTGTGTTTTTGGTTTTTGGTTTCTGTTTTCTAACAAATTGAAGGTTTATGGCAACCCTGCATCGAGCAAGAGTATCAGTGTCATTTTTCCAATCGCATGTGCTCACTTTGTGTCTCTATCACATTTTGTAATTATCACAATATTCTCTCCTTTTTTATTGCTGTCATATCTGTTATGATGATCTGTGATCAGTGATCTTTGATCTTACTATTGTAATTGTTTTGGTGTGCCACAAATCATGCCCATATAAGAAGGCAAACTTAATCAATAAATGTGCGTGTGCTGACTAAAAAAAAAAAAAAAGGTGTAAGAAAGGGGTTGGTGGGTGTGTAAAGTGGTTCAACCGTTGTGGAAGACAGTGTGACAAGTCTTCAAAAACCTAAAGTCAGAAATACCATTCAACCCAGCAATCCCCATTACTGGGTATACAACCAAAGAGACAGAAATTGTTCTATTATAAAGACACATGCATGTGTATGTTCACTGCAGCACCATTCGCAACAGCAAAGACATGAATCAACCCAAATGCCCATCGATGATAGACTGGGTAAAGAAAATGTGTCACATATACGCCATGGAATACTCTGCAGCTATAAAAAGAACAAGATCATGTCCTTTGCAGGGACATGGATGGAGCTTGGAGGCCATTATCCTTAGCAAACTAACACAAGAACAGAAAACCAAATACTGCATATTCTCGCTTATAAGTGGGAGCTAAATGATGAGAACGGATGGACACATAGAGGGAAACAACACACACACTGGGGCCTATCAGATGGTGGAGGATGGGAGGAGGGAGAGAATCAGGAAAAATAACTAATGGATACTAAGCTTAATACCTGGGTGATGAAATAATTGGTACAACAAACCCCCATGATACACGTTTACCTACATAACAAACCTGCACATCCTGCACATGTACCCCTGAACTTAAAAGTTCTTAAAAAGGCAAACCACCATGACACACATATACCTATGTAAGAGACCTGCAAGTTCTGCACATGTATCACATTTTTTAGAAGAAATGAAGGGGGAAAAGCATCACTTCCTTCATAATTCTATGCCATTGTGCAGTTTTGGCCCCTAATACGTACCCAGTAAACAAAGCATGGAATCAGTAAGAAGTTCTGAGAAGGGCACAAGGAGCAAAATGTGATTACTAAGAAGAAAGTATCTATCTGGAATGTCATCTTATCTGTGCCTGAGAGTCCATGTCCAGGAAACCGAAATGTAGTCTCAATATAGGGCAGGTAAAGACAGAGCAAACAGGAAGGCGCAGGCAGAAACATGTTTGCAGGAAAATGCAATTCTGCCAGTGGTTCAACCTCTACCATGTGTAGAATCTGATAGATTTTGTAGAGTTGTATAATACAACAATCACATGACTAGTAGTAAAGCAGGCAGTATTATAGGTCGTCGTATAGAAGTAGCAAAGCATAGAGGAAGGAATAACAGTTAACATTTCCTAAGTGCTAACTATGTGCCAGGCTGTTTTAAGAGCTATCAGGGGCCGGGCTCAGTGACTCACGCCTGTAATCCCAGCACTTTGGGAGGCTGAGGTGGGCGGATCAAGAGGTCAGGAGATGGAGACCGTCCTGGCTAACACGGTGAAACCCCGTCTCTAATAAAAATACAAAAAATTAGCCGGCTGTGGTGGCGGGCACCTGTAGTCCCAGCTACTCAGGAGGCTGAGGCAGGAGAATCACTTGAACCCAGGAGACAGAGGTTGCAGTGAGCCGAGATCGCGCCACTGCCCTCCAACCTGGCAACAGAGCAAGACTCCATCTCAAAAAAAAACAAAACCAAAAAACAGCCTTCAGGTATTCATTCATTTGATCCTTATAGCAACTTAATGAAGATATTGCTGTTGCTATTGTGGTTATTCCATTTTAGATATGAGCAAATGCATTAAATACATAAATGTCTGAGGTCAGTTACAACTAGTTAGTGGCAGAGCCAGAATTCAAACCCAGCCAGAACCCATCATCTTCTCAGGGTCCTCTATAGAAAGGCAGTGAACCCTCTGCCACCGGAGGTGCTGAGCCACAGGATAATGACCATTAGTCAGGGCTACTATAAGGGTGACACATATGTGAAGTGGGCCAGATAACACTAGGCCCTTTCCACTCTAAAAACAAAAAAAAAAAGGCCTACTATCTGCATGCCACATTAAAAACAAGTAGACAAGTATAACTTCCACCCTAAACTTCCTTGAGAATAAATTCTAGAGAAAAGATGAAATATAACTCTTCTCTGTAGTCTAAACAGCAGACTGGAAGAAAGACTAGGAGCTTCACTCCACCATAATCCTTGTAGCTCCCAAGGGGCACTTCTGCGTTTGTGCAAAGGAGAGGGGGTCACATTCCAACAGCGAGGTTGGAATAGCTCACCCCAGGGCTTGGACCTTGGAGACACACTCTCTGGAAAGCCTCCAGTCCATCCGTCCTCCTGGAAATGATTACTCTTGTGAGCCACTGTGTCCCCTCGGGACACAGGTGAAGGAGTATGTAAATAAGCTGCAACAATTACTCTAACTTTGGCTCGGATGAAGTCCTGGAGGAATCACCTTTCCAGAGACTTGATAACCGGGTGACTAATGCCCACTTTTCTCTATGCTGTGACCTGCCTGCTTCCTTGAGGAGGAAACTCGACTCCTTGTCCTCAAGCTCTTTCGGGGTAGCTCCTCTTGTCCCTTCGGCTCCCCTGTTGGGAAACTGGGGACTCCTCCTTCTAAACCATCCCATTCCTGTGTCCTCCACCTCAGGAACAGAGGATTGTTCCCCATCCTGCCACTGCTTCTCCAGCATGGCTGCCCTCAAACGGGATGCTAGCAGGTGCTAGATGAACTAACTGCAAACTTCCTTTCTGTGGAGGAGAAGTGAAGGCCACAGGGCCAGGACCCTTTTTAAAAGCATCTGAACTGACTCCACAGATAGGGACTTAGACATTGGAAGAGACTGTATCACAGCAACATCAAAGGGTAGACAGCCAGCAACTGTAGGCTACTTGCCCAAGAGGTAAGTTGAATTATGATGTCATTTTATCAAACATAAAAAGACGGTAAATTGAACTGCCCAAAGACACACACAGAGATAGTGGCAAAATTAGAACTCAAATCTTGGCCTGGCTCCAGTATCCAAGTTCTGAGGATCAGATGGACAAGAGAGAGATAGAGATAGAGATAGAGATATATATATAGAGAGAGAGAGAGGAGGAGGAGGAGGAGGAGGAGGACCCTCCCCTTCTGATAATGTTTCTCCTTGGGCTGTTGTCCATGAAAACAGCATCAGAAAAAGATAATTCTGATTTGCTTTTCTCAGTCTTTAGCTCTTTCTACCTCCTATAGTAATATAGTGTGTGTGTGCATGTGTGTGTGTGTAAGAGAGAGCGAGAGCACCTGCCAAAAGTGCATTGTCTTAGAGACCTACAAAATCACCTTGGTCATGCTAATGGGCCCATTAGAAAACATGGTATTTCATTACCAAAGCACTGATGAGCTGAACTATCATGGAAGTCTCAAAGTACTGAGAGATGCATCTTGGTGGTCTACACTGCTACCCAGATAAGGGGAAACACTTGCCTCCTCTGTCCCTGCAGAATTGTTCTCAGCACCACCCCATTCACATGGCTGATATCTCAGAGGATGACGCTTTCCAGGAAAGTGGGTATTAAAGGCGCCGCAATGTTCAAGGCCCTGACGTCATCCCAGTGAACTCAAGGCCCGCTACGTCTCCAGCATGCATGTTGAGGCACCTCCTGGCTTCTCTTCTTGGTGGTAGAGGGTCTTTTTACCTCTTTCCCCTAGTCTGATATATGGCCCCTGGGTCCCTCTTCCAGTATAAATAAACCTCCATTTATTCTCAACCTCTTTACAAGGAACATTCTATCTCCTACCTTAAATGAAACATGAACTTGAGCCACCCAGCTCCATCGCTGTCCTCTGGACCAAATCATCACAGAACATGTGAAATAACAACAGAAGCTCATCATCTAGATTATACAAATGGAACATTAGGTATTTGCTCCAACTGTTTCTTTTTAATTTTTTTAAATTATTTTATTTTTCCTTAAGTTACTGGGGTACAGGTGGTATTTGGTTACATGAGTAAGTTCTTTAGTGGTGATTTGTGAGATCCTGGTGCGCCCATCACCTAAGCAGTATACACTGCACCATATATGTTGTCTTTTATCCCTCGCCCCCTTCGCACTCTTCCCCCCGAGTCCCCAAAGTCCACTGTATCATTCTTATGCCTTTGCATCCTCATAGCTTAGCTCCCACATATCAGTGAGAACATACGATGTTTGGTTTTCCATTCCTGAGTTACTTCACTTAGAATAATACAACATAAATATTGCAGGCCAGGTGTGGTGGCTTATGCCGGGAATTTCAATACTTTGGGAGGCTGAAGTGGGAGGATCACTTCAGGCCAGGAGTTTTAGACCAACCTGGGCAACGCAGCAAAACCCTGTCTCTACAAAAATAATTGTTAAATTATTTTTATTATTTTTAAAAAATTTTTGTGGGTACATAGTACAATTCAATTTACCATATCTTTATGGGGTAACATGAGATGTTTTGATACAGGCATGCCATGTGAAATAAACACATCATGGAGATCTACAAATCCAATTTTTAAAAAATTAGCTGGGAGTGGTGGCACACACCTGTAGTCCCACTTGAGCGGCAGATTCAGGGTGACTGCTTGAGACCAGGAGTTCAAGGCTGCAGTGAGCCATGATCATACCACTGCCCTCCAGCCTGGGCAACAGAGTGAGACCTTGTTTCTAAATAAATCGATATTACAGATACACTTGAAATTTTCTTTGTTCCCATCCAAAATCTTATTTTCTGCCTTTCACTCCAGAGAAAACCACTATTCTATTGTTGATAGTATATTCCTATTCAGAATTTACACTTTTACCACATACAAACGTATTATTTTATGGTTAAAATTTACATATACATTGTGACATGCCATATATCTTCCAGCAACTGGCTTTTTATCATCACATTGCTTTTCTTCCCTAATTTACCCCATGAATTTATTCATTTTAACTATTGCATAGGATTCACTACTAAAAAATAGCACAATTTACTTATCTATGCCTCCGTGGGTAGACCATTTCTAAGTTTCCCATATGACAATGCACATGTGCCCGTCTTCTTTTTTCTTTTCCATTTTTTTTTTTTTAGATGGGGTCTCACACTATTGCCCAGGCTGGTCTTGAATTCCTGGGCTCAAGCAATTCTCCCACATCAGCCTCCTGAGTGGCTGAAATTATCTTACATGTGTCTTCTTCCACCCATGTGCTACAGTTTCTCTAGAAGCTAAGCAGAAAGCAGAATGGCTGGGTCAGAGATGTGTGAATTTCGACTTTCCTGGATATGGGCTCACTATTTTCTGAATGTAATATAATACTACTGTATTCATTTTTCCCAACACTTGGAATTGTCAGAGTTTTACACTTTACACACTCCAAGATGAAAGATGTTAAATTTAATTTTATTTTTAATTTAGTTAAAGGTCTTTGCTTATTGGGCCATGCCAGTTTCCTATGACTTGCCTGTTCAAGTCTTTGGACCATTATCTTCTGCCGTATTGCTGGTCCTTTTTTTGTTGTTGTTGTTTTTGTTTTTTTGAGATGAAGTCTTGCTTTGTCACTTAGGCTGGAGTGCAGTGGCGCAATCTCGACTCACTGCAACCTCCGCTTCCCGGGTTCAAGTGATTCTCGTGCCTCAGCCTCCCAAGTAGCTGGGATCACAGGCACCCACCACCACACCTGGCTAATTTTTGTGTTTTTAGTAGAGATGGGGTTTCACCATGTTATCCAGGCCGGTCTCCAACTCCTGGCCTCAGGTGATCTGCCCGCCTCAGCCTCCCAAAGTGCTGGGATTACAGGTGTGAGCCACCGTGCCTGGCCTGTTGGTCCTTTTCTTATGAGTTTGTAGGAAATCAATTCCTATCTTGATAGCATACACAAATTTTCCCTTTATTTTCCACTAAATTTTTTGACGTTTTGCTTTTCACAGTTAATCCTTTAGGAATTATTTTTCTGTATAACTTCTCATATATAGATAACCAACTGTCCAATGACTCTGGGCTAAATAGTTCATCGTCTCCTTGCCTGTTTCTAAACCACCTCATGTCACACACCACTTTCTAAGAAATGCTTAACCTGTGTCTGGCCTTCCTAGTCGATTAGACCAAATATTGATTTCTTTGTCGGTCTCTAACTCACTATTACTCCGATGTTTGAATTATCACAGTAAACCTTTTTTGTACCTAATGAGACAAAAAGTACCTCACTTTCTTTCCTCAAATTGTCTTATCTCTCCTCTTTATTCTCCTAAATGAATTTTTTTTTTTTGAGTCAGAATTTTGCTCCTTCCCCCAGGCTGGAGTGCAGTGGTACAATCTCGGCTCACTGCAACCTCTGCCCCCGCAGTTTCAAGCAATTCTCTTGCCTCAGCCTCCCAAGTAGCTGGGATTACAGGTGTGCACCACCACGCCCAGCTAATTTTTGTATTTTTAGTAGAGATGGGGTTTTTCCATGTTGGCCAGGCTGGTCTCAAATGCCTGACCTCAGGTAATCCGCCTGCTTCGGCCTCCCAAAGTGCTGGGATTACAGATGTGAGCCACCGTGCCCAGTCTCCTACATGAATTTTTGGATCAGTTTGTCAAACTCATGTTTAAAAGAAACTTGTATCTGGTTTGGGGTTGCATTACATTTAGAGAGTAATTGGAAGAGGACTGACATTTTCACAATATTGAGGCTTCCATTAACAATTTACCTCACCACCTTTTAAATATTTTTGTGCTTCACTAAAGTTTATTTTTTAAATCAATTTTGGATCTCTTATTAGAATTATTTCTAGATTCCTTAAAATTTTCTATGGCCATTTTAAAAAATAAATCTTTATTAAAATTATATTTTCTTGCACTGGAAAAAGGGTCTCTGGGAAAAAGTAAAAATGAATTCCATTTTCTAATTTAGTGTTTAAGTACAAGAATAGTATTGATTTTTGAAATACTTGTTTATAACAAACTTGCTGAAACATCAATTCCCTTGGGTTTTCTTTGTAGACAATATTTTCTATGAACTCTTATCTTTTTGTTCTTTTCTTTCCAATTCTTTTATGGCAAAATTCTTTCTAGTGTTCTTTTCAGAAATAGGACAACACTTCAAGGGTTTTTTAACAGAGTCTCAAATTAGTCTCCCTGCTTCGTGTGGATCTGTGGTCACACTGTATCAAGGGGCATAAAGACCTTATACCCAGCCATTAAGAACTAGCTAATGTCTGAATGGAGACCCCAAGGGGCCACCACAGCATCCTCTATGGCTCATGTTTCTTGTTCTGAGTTTTATTCTTGTTTCTCACACTAAGGTATTCCTATTTCTTTCTTTTAGGTATGGTTATGTGTTTTGGGTTTTTTTTTTCTTTACTTTGATATTTTTCTATAACTTCAATGTATTTTAACAGCAATGGGAACTGTCAACATCAACTTAGTCTGCCATGATGCCAAGAGCTCCACCTCTGAACTCACATATCCGTACCATATGAGCTAACCATGCTCTCTGCCTCTCCAGATTTACTGAACGATTTGACACCTGAGGTATTATGATTCTATTTGAAGAAGGGGGAGGGCATCTCAAGAGAGAAAATCAAACTTCTTTAGGCGCAGAGATGAGAAAGTACATCATAATTATGAAATGGCCTCCTTGTCTGGGGTAATACCCGAGGTTCCTTGCCTCACAGCCAAGGAAATCAAGGACGTGGATACACACAGAGTGAGGATAAGAGTGGAAGTTTAATAGGTGAAAGAAAGAGGATAGCTCTCTGCTGGAGAGAGGGTTCTTGGAGAAATGGGCTGCCGGATCTGCAGTGAAATGGAGGCAGGGGGTTAGACGCCTGGTGAGGAGGTAGAGTCTGATTTACATGGAGCAGGAAAGACTGGCTGGACCAGGTGTGTCATTAGCATAGGGTGTGAAAAACTGATTAGGACTAGATGTGCCATTTGCATAGGGCATGAATTTCTGGTAGCCCCCACCCTAATCTTTAATTATGCAGGTAGGTTCTCCGTCTGGCCTGCACCACGTTGCCCATTCCCTTATTGTACACATGATAACAAAAAAAGGAAGATGGAGCCTCCATGTTGGATATGTCTGGCCCCCAGGTAGCCCTTTCCTATTGGCACAGCTGCCAGCCTTCCCCTGTGCAGGCTTCCGGCTTGCTTGTCTATGTCTGCAGCTCAATTTCTCAGGCTGCTCTTTGTTAGAAAAAAAGTAATTTATTGGGCTGCTTTTTGTTAAAAGGGAAGCTCTGCCAAAGACTCTTTTACTTTCACTATCTGCCTAAATAATTTCTTTCTACCTCCTGTATCAATGAGAAATGATAAAGATGATTAGACCTACATCCCTCATACCTAGCACATGATTCAAACATGTACTACAAGAGATGCTGAGAAGTGAGGATTGAATTAATTACAGATCTAATATATTTTTGAGTCAATATCTCTTTAGAAAAATTAGTAAATGCTAGATATTCTGCAGAACTGTCACAAGTTGATCACAAAATGTAAAATGGCTTAAACAAAGTAAAGGTTTATTTCTCTCCTACATAATGGTTACAATAAATGTTTTTGTTTGGGGGAGGTTCTCCTGAGTGTGGAGTACTGGGGATACAGGTTCATTCCATCATGTGTCTCCATCATCCTGTTCAGCCTCCTCTCCATTTGCATCCAACTGGCACAAGGGTAAGAAGGTGTGGAGGAGCCCAGAACTGGGACACGTGTGGAATGGCTAGAACTCAGTCACATGAGCACACCTCACTGCAAGGGAGTCTGGGAAATGTAGTCTAATTGAACGTCCAAGAAGAAGAGAACAACACGGATTTGACTAAGCAGCTGATCGTTGCCGCTGTAATTTAAGTCTTAGAGTACAAGACGGATCAAAGAGGAGGAAACCTGGAGTCAAGCAGTTGAGTTAGCATTACAATACTTCAGGGAGAAAACAATGATGGAGCTGAAGCACTGGGACATTTAGTAGAAAGGCTGAATTATGTAATAATTATTTTAAAGGAAGAATCAACAAGATTAGATGTAGAGGTGAGAGAGAAACTGAGTCATTAAGCTTGTGAGCATCCCACATATGGGGAGTACAAGAAATATACCTGGATTTGACTCAAAAAATATTAAGAGAAAACTTATTGATACATACAATAGAAAATATTTGGCTGGGCACGGTGGCTCACGCCTGTAATCCCAGCACTTTGGGAGGCCGACACGGGCGGATCACCTGAGGTCAGGAGTTTGAGACCAGCCTGGCCAATGTGATGAAACCTCCATCTCTACTAAAAATACAAACAATAACAACAACAACAACAAAAAACTAGCCAGGCGTAGTGGCACATGCCTGTAATCCCAGCTACTCAGGAGGCTGAGGCAGGAGAATCACTTGAACCTGGGAGGCGGAGGTTGCGGTGAGCCGAGATCACACCACTGCACTCCAGCCTGGGCAAGATGCAGTGAGACTCCATCTCAAAAAAAAAAGAAAAAAAAAAAAAAAGAAAATATTCCATAATAGTCTATCTGAAGGAGGTAAAAATAAACAAGATATGGTTTTCCTTCCCCTAAAATCTTGCCCTCATCTTAGGTTGGATGTGCAGTTTGGTCACGTTGGCAGTATGAGTGAAGTGGAAATACGGAGGGAAAAGTTCACACCTACAGATGTAAACCTCACAGTTTACTAAGCAATGGTTGAAGCCACTAAGCAGTTGCTTGAGTCACCCAAAGAAATAATTAAGAACAGGAAGAGAAGGCTGAGAGAAAGGCATTGTGATTGTATATACTTGAGGGCTTGCCAAAGAGAGAAAAAAAACCAACAACTCTTTTTTCCTTTCTTTTAAAGGAAATGGTGAAAATTTACTTTGAAAATGAGACACCTGGGGAGAAAATTCTCCAGACTGTTTTAGTAGGATCTAAATGCACTGGTCCCTGTGATTTACAATCTTCCGACACAGTGTAGATACATGTTACCTCCTGGGCTCTGGGATCCCTCTGAGTTTTTTCAATGGAAAAATTCCTAATTTCTGGGCTGGCCCTTTCACCAGCAGACCTTTTGCACTGGAATATTTTGTCAAAGACTTCAAAATGCTGTCCTCTCCTTATCATGGGTAATAAAATTAGTGTGTGATTTTGGCTTCTCCACTAAGTTGTAAGGTCCTTGAGAACAGAGACCACGTCTTGAATAAATAGATGAATAAACTGTATTTGTCACATATTTATAACTTCTCCATGAGGTCTAACAAAGTGACTAGACCATGGGACATGACAATTATTTGTTATATGATTAATTTCTAGGCGTTTAGTGGTGGTGCTTGGAACAGGAAGGATGGGCACTTCTGATTCAGAGATTGCTCACTTTTTAGACATGACTATAAAGGGGTGAATGACAATTAGTCCTATTGACCTACAGGGATGTTTCCCCAAAATACTGGATATCTCTATAATTTAATAAACTCAGGTGTATACACAGCTGAATCACTTAAGTCAGAAGTGATGGAGAAGGATTATCACTACACACAGTAACTATGCTAATATAATGATATTCCTCTCCCCTTTCATGTTAAAGAAGCCATGAGGGAAAATAACCAGTCCTCTACACTGGAATTCATCCTCCTGGGAGTTACTGGTCAGCAGGAACAGGAAGATTTCTTCTACATCCTCTTCTTGTTCATTTACCCCATCACATTGATTGGAAACCTGCTCATCGTCCTAGCCATTTGCTCTGATGTTCGCCTTCACAACCCCATGTATTTTCTCCTTGCCAACCTCTCCTTGGTTGACATCTTCTTCTCATCGGTAACCATCCCTAAGATGCTGGCCAACCATCTCTTGGGCAGCAAATCCATCTCTTTTGGGGGATGCCTAACGCAGATGTATTTCATGATAGCCTTGGGTAACACAGACAGCTATATTTTGGCTGCAATGGCATATGATCGAGCTGTGGCCATCAGCCGCCCACTTCACTACACAACAATTATGAGTCCACGGTCTTGTATCTGGCTTATTGCTGGGTCTTGGGTGATTGGAAATGCCAATGCCCTCCCCCACACTCTGCTCACAGCTAGTCTGTCCTTCTGTGGCAACCAGGAAGTGGCCAACTTCTACTGTGACATTACCCCCTTGCTGAAGTTATCCTGTTCTGACATCCACTTTCATGTGAAGATGATGTACCTAGGGGTTGGCATTTTCTCTGTGCCATTACTATGCATCATTGTCTCCTATATTCGAGTCTTCTCCACAGTCTTCCAGGTTCCTTCCACCAAGGGCGTGCTCAAGGCCTTCTCCACCTGTGGTTCCCACCTCACGGTTGTCTCTTTGTATTATGGTACAGTCATGGGCACGTATTTCCGCCCTTTGACCAATTATAGCCTAAAAGACGCAGTGATCACTGTAATGTACACGGCAGTGACCCCAATGTTAAATCCTTTCATCTACAGTCTGAGAAATCGGGACATGAAGGCTGCCCTGCGGAAACTCTTCAACAAGAGAATCTCCTCGTAACCAATGTGAGGGCCTACATTGGATACCGTAGTCACCAGTTACGGTATATTGGAAATCCAGTTCTGATGTCATCCTCCTACGAGAGGCAGTCTCTGATCTTTCTAGCCTGAAATTCCTAATCTCAGAACTCTTATAACATTTTAATAAGTTAATAATAAGTGATTATTGAAATTACCACTTTCAACTCATTGCTGCTCTTTTTGGCAGAGTGGCAGCACAGGGATATAGGGCATATGTCCTGATGAGCAGAGTCAAGTTGGGAAGATCTGAGCCTCAGCTTTCACATCTACATGTTAGGAATAATAAGTGCCCTACATGGGTCACATGGTGTGTTGATTACAATAGCTCATGCTTCCAAGATTATAAATCACTATTCATGTGTCCATTTTTATTTGACTGTTAAGTTTAATCACCCTTATTAGGCTTGCAAGCCTCTGAGGGCAGGAGTTGTTTTTACACATCACTGTACCTTCCCAATCTTGGTCAGATAAAGTGCATCCAATAAATACTGGTGGAAGTGGAATGAATAAGATATTAATATCTGAAACGTAATATTATAATTAGGGATAATCAAACCAGACATTATTTTCTCATCCTTTAAACCTTTCAAGAAACTCCCATTCACAAATGCTACAAAGGGAATAAAATACCTAGGAATACAGCTTACAAGGGACATGAAGGAACTCTTCAAGGAAAACTAAAACCCACTGCTCAAGGAAATAAGAGAGGACAAAAACAAATGGAAAAACATTCCATCCTCTTTTATACAAAGAATCAATATCATGAAAATGGCCATACTGCCCAAAGTAATTTATAGATTCAATGCTATTCCCATCAAACTACCATTGACATTCTTCACAGAATTAGAAAACACTTCTTTAAATTTCGTATGGAACTAAAAAAGAGCCCGTATATCCAAGACAATCATAAGCAAAAAGAACAAAGCTACAGGCATCATGCTACTTGACTTCAAACTATACTACAAGGCTACAGTAACCAAAACAGCATGGTACTGGTACCAAAACAGACATGTAGCCCAGTGGAACAGAACAGAGACCTCACAAATAACACCACACATCTACAACCATCTGATCTTTGACAAACCTGACAAAAACAAGAAATGGGGAAAGGATTCCCTATTTAATAAATGGTGTTGGGAAAACTGGCTAGCCATATGCAGAAAAATGAAACTGGACCCCTTTCTTACATCTTATACAAAAATTAACTCAAGATGGATTAAAGGCTTAAACGTAAGACCTAAAACCATAAAAACCTTAGAAGAAAACGTAGGCAATACCATTCAGGACATAGGCATGGGCAAACTTCATGTTTAAAACACCAAAAGCAATGGCAACAAAAGCCAAAATTGACAAATGGGATCTAATTAAACTAAAGAGCTTCTGCACAGCAAAAGAAACTATCATCAGAGTGAACAGGCAACCTACAGAATGGGAGAAAATTTTTGCCATCTATCCATCTGACAAAGGGCTAATATCTAGAATCTACAAAGAACTTAAATTTACAGGAAAAAAACCACCCCATGAAAAAGTGGGCGAAGGATATGAACAGACACTTCTCAAAAGAAGACATTTATGCAGCCAATAAACATATGAAAAAAAGCTCAACATCACTGGTCGTTAGAGAAATGCAAATCAAAACCACAATGAGACACCATCTCATGCCAGTTGGAATGGCGATCATTAAAAAGTAAGGAAACAACATATGCTGGAGAGGATGTGGAGAAATAGGAAGGTTTTTACACTGTTGGTGGGAGTGTAAATTAGTTCAACTATCATGGAAGACAGTGTGGTGACTCCTCAAGGATCTAGAACC